>NT_187392.1:81600-103838 GCF_000001405.40 Homo sapiens
GAATGGAATCTTCGAATGGAATTGAATGAAATTATTGAATGCAATTGAATAGAATCATCATTGAATATAATCGAATTGGATCATCATCGAAAGGAATCTAATGAAATCATCATCGAATGGAATCTAGTGGAACCATCATCTAATGGAATCGAATGGTGCAACCGAATGGAATCCGTTAGAATCATCATCGAATGGAAACGAATGCAGTCATCATAGAATGGAATCGAATGGAATCAACGAAGGGACTCGCATTGTGTCATTATTGAATGGAATCGGATGGAATCATCGAATGGACTCGAATGGAATCATCATCGAATGGAATTGAATGGAATCATCAAATGGACTCGAATGGAATCATTGAATGGACACGAATGGAATCATCATCTAATGGAATCGAGTGGAATCCTCGAATGGAATCAAATGGAATCATCAAATGGAATCAAACAGATTTCTAAGAAACTTACTTGATCCAAAAAATAGAAAAACAAACAAACCAAAACCCCCTAAAATTGTGAAGAGCAAAGTAGACGTCAGAAGAGGAAATATCACTGGGGATGAAGAATAACATTTCAAAATGACAAAGGGGAAAATACACCAAGAAGTCATGTAAATAAGAAATATGTATGCACACAATAGCAGTACTTCAAAATACATAATATAAAACCTATTAAAACTGAAAGGTAAAATAGTAAAACCACAGTCATCCATGGGGATTTCAACAGTCTCCTGCCAGAAATTTTTAAATTTTGTTAAACGAAGAGTTGGTAAGGGTAGAGAGGATCTTAAAAATATAATTAGCCAACATGATCTAGTTGAATCTTTTAGAATAATCTAAGGATGAGGAATGAAGTAGCAGAGAGAGAAAAGGCAGACATCAACGTGACATTAGTGTTTCAAGGCTATGAGAATACACCAATAATGGTGTGTGTGTGTGCAGATGGTAAGCTCAATCTTAAAAATATTGAGTTTTAACTGACAATTCATTATTAGGAAAGATAAGAGGAAATGATATCTAGTGAGAGGCTATATGACTGAACTCTAAGAGAAAGGTCACAGCAGAAATTGTGTACTTGACAGCTCTATAAAAAGGTCAGTCAAAAATAAGTCAGTGATGAATTCTCTGGTGTAAAAGCAGAGGAATGAGGATTAGATTTAAAACACATGGAAGCAGAGTGACTTATGATAAAAACATGAGCTTGAAAATCCTGCAGAGAGGGCTTTAAATCCTGGGTATGATATTCTGCTTGTGTAGGCAATAGTGATAAAAACACAACAACAAAGAGAGGTAAAGAGCACTTTCCTTTGATATAAGTAAAGGGCACGTCTTATTGCACATATATATATATAGGTATTCAACTGAGATTCATCATGTTTCTCTCACTGAAACAGCAAGCTCTCCAGGCCTTCATGTTCCCAGTGAGGTAGGTAACCTTCTGATGATTATACTCACCCTCCCTCATTTCAAAGCTTCCATTGTTATTGTCTTGGCTCTGGATTCCCTCAAAAATAGACTATGAAACAAATATCTGGGGTCAGGTACTTTAATCAGAAATTGAGTGAGAAAGCACAGAAGTGGAGAAAATGAAACAGAACACGAAGCCAGTGTGAATGAGTAGTTACTGCTATGTGCTCAGTAATGATGGAGGTATGGAGATTGTCTCAAAATAACTTTACAAAGAGATGGGGATGCTGGAATTCCCATCTCTTATTGTTTAAGGATTGCCTTAGAATCATTAACTCTCCACCCCTAACTCCTTCTTTGTTCCTATGTGTGGTTGAGAAGCACTGGTTAGCCTCAAGAAGCTTGCAGGCAGGCCCAAAAATCAGAAAGACAGGCATGATGTGGGGAGCTCTCAGTTAGCTGGAAACAGGTGAATTTCAGGTGAACACGTTGAGTCCAGGACATAGAAGACAAGTCATCAGCAATATCTGCTGTGGCCAGTTTTCTTTTTCTTTTTAAGAATATATATACTTTTTATTGGGGGTCCCCAAGTCCCCCTTTGGTTTAATGATTCACATAACTCAAGAAAGCTGATTTTCTTTTGTGGTTATAGTTTCTAACAGTGAAAGAAACCAGATTAAAATAATCAGAAGCATAAAAGCACATAAAATTGAGTCCAAGACAAACCAGATGTGAGCTTACAGGTGTCCTTTCATAGTGGGGACTTCACACTGACTAATTTTCTTTACAATGGTGTGAGACAACATGTGTGAACTTGTTGCCAACTAGGGAAGTTCAGTCAGTCTTGAGTCCAGGGTTTTTATTAGGATTCCACCACATATGCATCGAGCGTCCTGTGACTGAACTTAGGTATTTAGTTCCCAACCTCCCTATGCCCTAAGAGAGGTCATATTAATATGGCATTACACAAAGTCATAGGCATACAGAAACAGGTGCTCAGAAGAAATCACGTTGTTAGCATAAGCTATGTGATATGATCTACGTTTGCAGGTATACAAAGACTCTCATCAGGCAGCATATACCAAGGGCTCATAGGTTATCATCTCCCAGGAGCTTGTCAAGGGCCAGTCCTGAAGACCTTTGGAACGCGGAAGGTTTTGGAAAGCCATGTCTGCAGAATTAACCCTTCATTACACAACTTCCAAGATTTTTTTTTATCTTTAAAATGTTTTTTGATCTTTGACAATGTACCAACCAATACTGAGTAATTAGTAACAACAGTGTACTCCTGAGTACTTGCACCTGCAAGGAGAAAAAGGACAGATGCACTTACATAGGACAGATGCAAATAGACACCACTATGACAAGTAAAGCTGGAATAATCAATAAATTCCTAAAGACAAAGTGGGGCTGGTGAGATTGGGAGACCGCTGACAGCTGCAGAAGTTGGGAAAGATCCATCATCTTGAAAACTTTTTCCCCACAAACCCACTGTGATCTCTCAAGCAATTGGTAAGGAACTCAAGAGAGTCTGTATATGATACAGATCAGGGAGAGCAGAACACTTGGGAGGTGACCAGGTCTTGGGGGCCGAGCCCTTGTGAATGGGATTAGTGCCCTTATAAAAGAAGCTCAATGGAGTTCCTGTGTGCCTTCCACTATGTGAGGATATAGAAAGAAGGCACTATCTATGAACCATGAAATGGGCTCTCATCAACACTGAATTTGTGAGCATCTTGACCTGAGATCTTACAGCCTCAAGAAGTGTGAAAAAAGAAATATCTGTTGTTTTTTAGTCACCCGGTTTATGTTATTTTGTTATAAGAGTCCGAATAGACCAAGATATTCCACTTAATATGTAGGGGAAGGCAACAAAAACTGCCACACTTAGAATACTCCTGATGCTGGGAGTATGAAAACAGGAAAAACAAAACAAAACTGCTCTTGAAGGTGAAGGAGGAATATCACTGAGCTCACCAACACAGCCAGGAAAGGAACAGAAGTGTGAGAAGGCTACATTCCTGAGACCCTGAGAAAAAGTACCTGCATAAGACTGAGATGAAATTACCTACCTTAGTTATAATTGAAATCCCAAAAAGAAAAGAGGAAAAAAATAATGGAGCAAAAGAAATATATTTCAAAATAACTGCCAAAAATATTCTAAAAGAAGTGACAGAAAATCAAACTTCAGATATAGGAAACTCAGAGAATGTCAAATAGAACAAAAATAAATAAGAATTCCATCTTGAAAAATCTTTAAAAAATCAACTCTAAATTTTATATCTTGCTCCAAATATATAGAGATACAAATAGGTTATCATCAAGATATGGAGAAAGCCATATCATGGAAACACTAAAATAAGGCTGTGGAAGGACTACATTGATATTAGACACAACAGAGTTCGGAACAATAAATCGTATCAGAGATGAGAGATAATAGATAGTAGAAAAATCAATTCTCAAGAAGATGTAAACATCCTACTAATTAGGGTATGCAGCTAACAACAGAACCTCCAAATACATGAGGTAAAACAGGAAAGAAATCAAAGGTGAACTAGAAAAATCCAAAATTATATTTGCAGACTTCAACACTTTTGTCTTAGTAATGGAAAGACTAGGCACAAACTCAGTAATCATGTGGAAGATAAGAACAATATCATCAACAAGACATCCAATCTTCAATGGCAGATACTCTTTCCTTTCAAGTGAAAAAAAAAAACAGTATGGCATATTCTCTAACAAACCCAGAATTTCTAATATTTGCGTTCTTCCTTCCTTCTTTCCATCTTCCTTTCTCTTCTCTTCCCTTCCCTTGCCTTCTTCCTTCCTTTCTTCTTTTCCTCTTCCTTTTCTTTTCTTTCTTTTCCTTTCTTTATTTTCTTTCTTTTTTCTTCCTTCCTTCTTTCTTTCTTTCCTCTTATTCTTCCTTCCCTCCTCCCTCCCTTCCTTTCTCCCTCCCTTTTCTTCCTTTTCTCATATTTTCTTTCTCACGTTCTTGTTTTCTTTCCTTTTTTCTCCCTTCCTCCCACCCTTCTTTTCTTCCTTCCTCCCTCCCTTCCTTTCCGCTTTTTCCTTCCTTCACCTCTTTATTTTCTTTGTTTCTTTGCCTTCCTCCCTTTTACCATTCTCTCTTCCTCCTTTACTTCCTCCCTTCCTCCTTTTCTTTCTTTCTTTCTCTGTTTCTCTTTCTTTCTCTTTCTTTCTTTCCTTCTTTCTTTCTTGTGTTCATGCTTTCTTTGTTCTCCCTTGCTGCCTTTCTCCCTTCCTCCCTCCCTCCCTTCCCTCATTTCCTCCTTCTTTTCTTTCTTCTTTCTTTCTTTCTTTATTTCCTTCCTTCCTTCTTTCCTTCCGTCTTTTTCTTTGTTTTCTTTTCTTTCTTTCTCTTTACTACATTTCATATTATTTTAAAAAAATTAAGAGAGGGAGACAGAAAAATAAAGGATGCTTTAATCTGCAGGTAAATAGATTATGTCTGCTGTAGGCAAAAGAATGGCCTCCCAAAAATTTTCACGTCCTAATTCCCAGAGTCTAACATACAAATATGTTAGGTTGCACGGCGGTGTGAAATTAGATTTCAAGTGAAATTAAGGTTGCAGAAAAATGACAGAGAGATTGTCTTAAATGGGTGGGATCAATGAAATCACAAACTTCCTTATAAGTAAAAGAAGAAGGCAGAAAAAAGGCAACCTTGGAGGTGGTGGCATGAGAAATTACTCAACATCACTGACTTTTAAGATACAAGAATGAGGACCCAGCGCAGTGGCTCACGCCTAATCCCAGCACTTTGGGAGGCTGGGGTGTGTTTATCACGAGGTCAGGAGATCGAGACCATCCTGGCTAACATGGTGAAACCCCATCCCTACTAAAAACACAAAAAATTAACTGGGCATGGTGGCAAGTGCCTGTAGTCCAAGCTACTCAGGAAGCTGAGGCAGAAGAATCACTTGAACCCGGGAGGCAGAGGTTGCAGTGAGCGGAGATCATGCCACTGCACTCCACACTGGGTGACAGAAGGAGAATCCATCTCAAAAAAAAAAAAAAAGAAAAATAGGATATAAGAACGAGGTCATGTTCCAAGGAATAAAGGTGGCCTCTGGATGCTGAAAAAAATCAAGTAATAGATTCTGCCACATAGCCCTCAGAAAGACTGCAGCCCTGCCCAAAACTTGATGTTAGCCCTGTGAGTTTCATTTAAGGCTTCTGAACTACAGAACTGTAGGATTAACGGTCACTTTATTGTAAGATATGAAGTTTGTGGTAATTGGTTACAGCAGCAAGAGGAAGTTTATATTGTAATTGTAACATGAAAATGAGAACCATAATTTACAACTGCTTTTAATACTGCACTTGGATGTTTGAAATCACGTACATGGAAATGGTCTCTATCTGCATGAGGGAGGATAGCAAATTGATGCCAAAGTAATGCAAATGCAAATCTTACACTCATTTCTATGTAGGTTTCATTTAATCTTTGAAATTAAAATGAAATTAAAAGATTGTTACATTTTGATGAAATTAGACTAAAATGAACAATAACAAAATAAGAACTTACTTATATTCTTTATATGGTCAATAAAGAAGTGATAGTGGAAAAAAACAAGATCAAATGAAGGTGATGATTTAGGAAGTTGGAAAGATAGCTGAAACTACAAAATGGTATATAACCAGTGAACACTTAGACACACTGATTGATGAACTTCAGCTTTTGGCTTGGTGAGAGCATAAAATGAGAGCAGCTGAGGTTTGCAAATTTGTAATCTCCTTGTGGAAAAACGGGGGAAAGCACATCTCAGCCTAAGAAGATTTATTTACTAAAGAGTCTAGACTTGATCCATTTGTCCTTGTAATTCAAAAGCTAATTCAAATACTGATTTGATGTATTGTGTGAACAACCATTGCTGATTATTGTCGCATACCTGGCATTCTCTTTTATCTGATATATAAAATATTTGGTAATTCCTGGACTTTCTCTTTTCAAACCCAGTACGGTTTAATTAGAGCCTTAGAACAGTTGTCTTTGAGAAATTCTTACCTCTACTGCATCTGTGAATGGGCATAGCATGGTTACATACATACTGTCACTCCACAGAACATTTGTTAAATTAAAGCCAAAGTTTAAAGCAAGAGCTTTAACTTACTGGTTTTACTAATGTTTTCCTCCCCAATAGCCACAACAATATTGATACCCTCACACCTTTTCACATAAAGCTTGGTGTTGTCTATTTTTCAGGTGCTGTCATCTATATGATCTCAGTATTTTAAAAATCAGCTTCCAGCCCATATGGTGGTTCATGCTTGTAATAGCAGCAGTTGAAGAGGCTGAAATGAGAGGATTCCTTGAGCCCAGGAGTTCAAAAGCAACCTGGGCAACATAGCAAGACCCAGTCTCTATCAAAAGTTAAAAAAAAAAAAATGTGAGCATGGTGATGTGTACATGTTGTCCTAGCTATTTGGGAGGCCAAGGTGGAAGGATTGCTTGAGCTTGGGAGGCTGAGGCTGCAGTGAGCAGTGATTGCACCACTGCACTCCAGCCTGGGCAACAAAGCAAGACCCTATCTCAAAAAATATATATAATAAAAATGAAAATCAGCTCTCATTGATTTCTATGTAAATATGCACAGGTGATGTCCATATAGACATAAATAATATTTCTGACAATGGGTCCATATGATCTTCAAAATATAAAATGCCTATCTGTGTAATTGACTGGTTAGTCTCATTAATGAATATAGATTCAATTCTACTTTCTTGTTCTAGATAAATTATATAATCTAGCTTTTCATTTCACTTATTTACTGATAACAACAGGAAGAATGACAAGATATCTATTTTGGAAAATTACTCTGGTAGGAGTAAAGATGAAACAATGATAGAATTGCATGGAAAACTAGAAAAAAGTATGGTCTTCTGATATTCTATCACATCACATACTAAAGGCCTCATAAAACTCAGATATTTTATCTAAAAATGTTATTTTCATCATAGGAATGATCAAAGCATGAGACTACAATTGTATTAAAATGTGCTTGTATCACAAGCACAGGTGCTAAAAAGGAAGGGAAAACATCATTACTGATATTTTCAAAGTATGTTATACTTTCCATCAACATGAACCTCAACTTGATATGATGCAGATTGAAGGAAATCACCCATAATTCCATATGAAGAAGGCCTGTGATATTTTATGGGAAAATAAATAGAGAAAATGCTAACAGAAACCCTATTAAGCATGAAGCTTTATGGAGCAAACACAAATCCATTGGTGAAAGATACACACTCGGGTTCTGTTTGTTGTCTTGGAACAATACGGTTTAGAGGTGACTGGCGGGTGAGGAGAAAATATGCGAGTTCACCAAAGAGAAAAGCTGAATGAGGCAATGCCTCTTCCTGACCATATCTCTTACTCAGATAACTATATAATTTATTGTCCAGTAGAGGGTATATTAAAAAATCATATTAAAAGTCATGCAGTGAAGTTGTCCAGGGAAATCAAGACTTAACAGTCTCACTCTGACAATAATGAACAGGGGGATTCCCTCAAGATAGACTAGGACATGACCCAACACTGGCAGATAGTAGTACCAGAAAAGAGCCCATGGAAAATCTTTACCTTATGCTTGAGGTAGGGCCCAGGCTAAAGTGAAAGCCAGACATAAAATTCTATCTAAAATAAATCCACAATCAAAGAAAATATGTGGTGTACAGGCATAGAATGTCTTTACTGGATCATTGAAATAGTAAGATAAATTCAACTTTTTACAGTGTTTTCTTTTCCTCCAGTTAGGGCTTGAGGTTTGTCTCTGGAGAGTGACTGTCAATTGGAGCCCTGCCTTTCTAGGGTTCTGGTCAGGGGGTTGTGGATGCTTAACATGTGCCTTTCACAGGACACTTCCTTACCCCAGCAGTGGCCAGGTGTGCATCCCACGACCAGGCCTCCCTCTCACAGAACATCTGTTGAGACTAGGAGATGCCTGGTGACTGTTGCCTGACCTGTGTCCTGCGTATTTCTGACAAGAGCCACTCTCAGAGACCCTGGCCAGGAGGAGAGTTAGGTTCCAGTGTAGGTCAGCTCAGACCCATGGAGGCCACAGAACCAAACATGGGAAATCACAGAAGTAGGTTTATTACTCACAGATCCAGAGAGAAGAGGGTAGCTGAGAAGACGGTTTAGCTGTGTCCCCAGCCAAATCTCATCTTGAATTCCCACATGTTGTGGGAGGGAACAGCTGGGAGGTAATTGAATTATGGGGGCAGGTCTTTCCCATGCTGTTCTTCTGATAGTGAATAAGTCTTACAAGATCTGATGGTTTTATGAAGGGGAGTTTCCCTGCACAAGCTCTCTTGTCTTGTCTGCTGCCATGTGAGACGTGCCTCTCACCTTGTGCCATGATTGTGAGGCCTACCCAGCCATGTGGAACTGTGCGTCTATTAAACCTCTTTCTTCTGGAAATTACCCAGTCTTGGGAATGTCTTTACCGGCGGTGTGAAAATGGACTAATACAGTAGCACACCTCATAGGGCTGAACAAAATGGGGAAGATGAGTGGAGAGCAGGAGAGAGAAAAGGGGTCTGTGAGACTCCAGCGTTTATTGGGCCCAGAACATTACCCACATAAGTTTTCCACGGGGCACTAGTCAGTGGGGTGAGTGCCAGCAGGCACATTTCTTGACTCCTGCTGCAACCGAGCAGGTCACTCTGGCGTGTGGGGGCTGTCCATGTGTGCTGTGAGGTCTGTGGGGTGAGTCAGGTAGGTTGTATCCAACGGTTGAGGTAAATAGGAGAAACATAGAATTTATGTAAACAGTGAGAAGATTGGATGCGTTTTCCATCACATATTTTAATACTAGCAGCATATTATATATGTCAATCCATCAGGCATTCAGAAATACATGCTTATGAAAATTTTTTGCACCATCAGACAAAAGACAAGGGTAGAAGACATTTGTAACCCTATAAACACTAGTAAATTAAAAACAGAAGGACCTTTATGTCCTAACATATCTGTGTTGTGAAAGGCTGCCCTGTGAAATATGGGATTTCTTAAACATATTTTAAAAATCATAGGTGTCAATATTTTTTAGAAATCCATTTAAATTTTCTCTTGCTATTTTAGAATGCCTATTTATTTATTTAGTGGCTCTGCTGATTTTGATGTATATCCTAAATTTTATATTTTCTTTAAAGGATGTTTTATACAACTTTGTGTAAAATGTTTCAGTATCTTCACATTCTCTCCCTGTCCTTTTGTTTTGCTCTCATATGGCGGTCTTGAGTCTTTTCTCTGGCTTTTCAAACCTAGTAAGACTAAGACACTAAAGTAACTTTGCCCGTGGTTTGGTAATGCCTTCTAAATAAAGCACATCCTAAGCTCTCGTGCATAAAGGGGTCTCCTTTGAGCTCTGTGCTTTTGAGATCCCATATACATAAATTCCAGTACTCCAAATCAGTACTGCTCAGTGTTAGTTACTAAGTTTAAAAATGTATTTTAATAGCAAGTCAGTTTAGTGCACTCTTGCTTCTTTCTTGATTGCTTGTATACATGTATATTCCTTTAAATGAATCTTGGAATTTATTTAAAAAATTTAAATTATACTAATGAAACTGTATATTGTTGTGAATTCATAAATGAATTTGGAAAGAATTTGTCTTTATGATACTAAATCCTTTTTATCCAAGAATCATATGTGTCTTTATATTTATTCCAGTCTATATTTATATCACTGAGTAAATATATAGAAATGTAGATACATACAGCTATAGTTATAGATACAAATATAGATATAACATGTTAAATCTATATCTATCCCATATAACATATATACATGTTATATGTGTGTGTGTATATATATATGTTCATGTTATTAAAGAGCTCCCTTAAATTTTTTCTTTTATTTCCTATATAATTTCAGGTCAAGCTTGAATTTTCCTTGTATAAACAAGCAAATATTTATACTAGTTTTAATACTGATGTTTAGACATTGTATCTTATTTTAGCATTGAATATTTTCACAATTATTATAAATATTAGCTAATATTAATAATGTACCTGCTAAAAATATTTAAAATTTTACCTTTGAATTATTTTATTGTTGAATTAAAATTCCTTTAATATGATAGTAAATTTCTATTTTATGCTTTCTCTATGCATATGCAAATTAATCTATCCACTTCTCTATCTCTATGTAGTAACATATGAAAATCAGGCCTCTTCTTCTAATGGACATACACATCTTTGCATATAGAATATCAGATTCTTTATAGCATTTAAAATCTTTAAAGACATGGATATTGTCTTTTAACAAATATATTTTAGCATGTACTGAGAATCCCCTATTTTTAATTTGGGCTAATCAATATGATTATTAATATTATTGGATTACCAAATTTGGAAACACACTTTCATCCCCAAGGTGGATATTTGTTTTTTTTTTTGTTGCCAATTTCTTGTCTTACTGTTTCAAATATTGTTGGATATTATTTTTATTTTATTTGGCATTTTAGTATCAACATTTGTAATTGATGTACTCTACATATTTTTTCTACAATATCTGCTGGGTTTTATAATTACTGCTATATTGGATTTGTAGTAGACATTGACAAAAATTATTCCTGCATGTTTTATAGCTGTATGAAGGAAACTAATATATTTTACCCCTAAATATATTTCCTTGATATATTTCAAAATGGCTATTCAGAAGGGCTGGAAATGTAAACATAGCTGCAAAGCTGTCTTGGGGAGATTTGCATCGGTAGAGAATCTGCCTCGATGCAGCCAGGCTTTCTCTGAGGTCTGCCCCTTTGTCTGGATCTAGGAAAGTTTAACTGAGAGTCTGAGGTCTCCAGAGGTCTGAAAGAAACATTTTCTGTCTATTCTCTCTGAGGACTGCTCCCAGTGAGGTTCCACCTACGTAATAAGTCCACTGTTGCTAGCCAGGGTCGTTTTCTCACATAACCTTTTTTTTTTTTTCCCTGTGATCCAAGACCCCATTCTTTCTGTAAACTTCATGTGGTAGATAAGCTTCTGCACGCATCGTGTGTCTGGGTCTTCGTTCTAAGGGCTCCAGTGTACACACATTGCAGAAACCTGTATGCCTTTTCTACTATTTATCTGCCTCTTATTAGTGATTTTCAGGGAAACTTCAGAAGGCAAAAGGGACATTCTCCTTTAGCCCATACTCAGACAAAATCCCCCAACATTTAACTGATTCCTAATAGCTTAAAATCACTTTGAAAAATCCATATATTTATAACCTTTTCTTCCCTCTATGATTTCTGGTCAGCTTGGGTTTTGTTTTTCATTCCATTTACTTCATCCTCAAAAAGATCTATTTTACGTCTATTTATTCTCATTTATGGACATTGAGAAAAGAAAATAACTTTCATGTGAGAAATGCAAGTCCTTTTAAATAATCAGGCCCAGAGAGATATTCAAATGAGACAGCAGTTCTGTCCTGCTCCTCTTTGAGCTGTGTGTTCATCTAGGCTGCTTGCTGTTGCCACATTAGCTATAAATTAACCAATAATGCCACACCAGACACTATAATCCACACCCAATAATAGTGTAACAGTGTATAGCCAGTCACTAATAAATGTCATTTCCATAAGCCAATGAGAATTTATGACAAGCCTCTTTGCATCATCCCACTTCTGGACCCTTTTTTGCCTTTAAGAAACTGCTTGTTGCAAAGCTCCAAAGGGAATTCATATCCAAGGATACTTGGGTCTGTTTCTCTCAGGCAGCTGTCCTCATTTTGGCTCAAGTAAACTCTTCGAATTACGTTTTGTGCTTCAGCCCCTTCCACTTACATTAACAACATGGATTTGTGTCACCATGTACAGCAATTAAAATGTTTACACTTCTCCCCTCGAGGGCACTGATGTGTTTTCCTGAGCACTTGGAATAGCTACGTAGTGTTTACTGTCTAGATTATGGTTTCTCAACCTTGGTGCTACTTACCTTTAGGACCAGAGGATTCTGTGTTGTGGGAGGCTGCCCTAGCAATGCTAGGTGTTTCGTTTGACCTCTAAATTTCACACCTCCACCAGTCTTGACATCCCCACAATAACCCTAGACATTGACAAATGTCTCCTGGGGAAAACTCTCCACCAGTTGACAGGCAAATTTCTGGAAATATTGGAATTGTCAATTGAGATTTTATGTTATCCAAAACAAACATTTTTCTTTGTTTTTAAACATCTACTTCCATCTACTTATCTACTTATTTTTACTTTTATTTGTAACTTAATTCCATCAAGGAGAGTGCATTTTCTGTTACGCTAAATTTTTGAAGAATGTATTGATTTTTTATGACCTGATATATGGATGATATGTAGATATTACATGTTTGTGTTATCAAATTTCAGGGCGATAATAAAATAAATACTTATAATATTTATATTGTCACTGTATATTAGTTATTTTCTTTCTTCACTACAGGAGTTTTTCAACCTATAGGCTATTTTTCAATTCTAGGTTATCCAGTAGATTTTGAAATGTTATGATTAAATATCTACTTCTCAAGCATTCATCTTTGCAAATGAAACAATCCCAAGCTCTTATAATGCACATCATACAAAGGGCAGATTAGTCAATATATGGTTCAGAAATAATTATGTAATATTTATAAGAAAATTAAAAATTTAGATCCTTAACTCAGATAACAATAATCCAAATTAAAATTTGATTTCATTACATAATTTAAAATGACACCAGAATACTAGTAAAAATGCAGATAAGTTTATATAATCTTTTTTAGCTATAGGACTTTATTAGCATAAATTCAAATACAGGAACCAAAGTAAGATTGAGACCTATAGTCAAAGGTTAAAATGTACACATTATAGGGGCATGATTAAACTAATTTAAAGCATAGTAACATGGAGAAATATTGCAAAACATACATTTTACTGAATTGTTAATATCTAATCATTATGTGAGAACAAAATTAAAGAGTAGCTACGCACGCACACACCCACACACAAGTGCAATATTGTCAAATAAACGATGTTCATCTACACTAGAAATCACACCTGTGTTTTCTCCACAGAAAAGATTAAAAATCACAATAATATTTATTGTACATACGGAGGTAAGGATACTCAAAATATTACCCTAAAATACACTATTTTTTTTGAGATGGAGTTTTGCTTTTATTGCCCAGGCTAGAGTGCAATGGCACAATCTTGGCTCACTGCAACCTCAGCCTCCCAGGGTCAAGTAATTCTAGCACAGCCTCCCACGTAGCTGAGATTACAGGCATGCACCGCCACACTCGGCTAATTTTTTGTATTTAGTAGAGACGGGGTTTCACCAGGTTGGTCAGGCTGGTCTCCAACTCCTGGCTTCAGGTGATCTACCCACTTCAGCCTCCCAAAGTGCTGGGATTACAGGCGTGCTCCTGGCCAGCTTTTTGACATATTTCAAGATGGCTACTCAGAAGACTGGAGATAGCTTCTTCTACAAGAATAGCTGAAAAGATGTGTTTGTTGGGGCGATTTGCATTTGTAGAGAAAATCTGCATTGATATAGACAGGCTTTCCCTGAGATACTCCCTTGTCTGGGTTTAGGAAAGATTAACTGAGCCTGGCACGTTTACATTTCTAAAAACCATTTCCTATCTATACTTCCCAAGAGGAGGGCTGCTCCCTGTGAGGTTTCATCCATGTAACAAGACCACCTCTGCTGCCAGGCTCCTCTTTCTTCCTTGTCATCACCTGTCTTCTGCAAAGCCTGATTTACCAACCTACAGCTCTGTGTTTTCTGTAACCTCAAGACATAGGCGTGTTGACTGCCTTGTCTTTCCTGGAGTTTTTATATATATAGTATATATTTGTATATCCATTTATAATATACAAATATTTGTATAGATATATTTATATATATTATGTAAACTCCAAGTGCATACTGGTGCACATATCTGTAGACCTTTTTTTCCTGTTAATTTGTGCGTTATCAGTTTATTTTATAGACTCAAATAATTAAAGCTTCAAGGGAAAAATTTAAACTTTCCTATAGAGAAAAGACAAATATATAGGTGACAAATAATATTTAGAGTGTAAGACGCTTTTTAAACGTATATTTGTAATTTGTGTCAAAACATTTAAATATACATTTGTTATTTTAACTATAAAATTTCAAATAATTTAAGCCAAATTCATAGTATATGCAGAAAATTTAGCAATATATCTATGTAGCACCTTACTGTGCATTACTGTAACCAGCCGTCTAATATAAAGAATTAAGGTAGCAGCTACTTTTCAAATAGCGCATTTTTTCACAGACCTATTAAATAAGACAAATAACATTTAAACTTTATTTTTAAATTTGCAGAATAGCAGTTTTCAGCAGATGGTTTATTTTAGCAAATTGCATCTTCACATTGTGCTATGCTTTTATGAGTGCCAGCTGTTAACGGATATTTTACTGCTGAAATTATCACGTGTGATATAATTGCTCATTATGTGCCTTAAAACACAAGCAATATAATTATTTTCAACTTGGAGCAAATTAAAATCTTATCAGCAATTTAAAAACTCTAGAGTCGTCTTCTTCTGGTTAATTATTTTAAACTTGTATTTTTCTCTTTATGTTTTTAGTGAGTTGTCTTATCAAGGAGAAGAACTCAAGCTGATTATTCTTTTTTTTCTCTTCCATCCACCTCGCAGGTGTGTTAATAATTTCATTTCCCAGAAAATGTTCTTTCATATCCATCTTACAAGATGAGAGACTTTTTCACATCTTCCATTCGGATGTGATACCAGTAATGGAAAATATTCCAGCTTCATGAATATGGTGATACTAATAGTTATCCGTCTAACCTCTTTCAGTGCCAAATGTTTACTTTACTCAGTGAATTACTCAGTTGACTGGTAATTTCTTCTGAAATCACTAATGAGAGGATCAGAGGTCTGGCTGTGGTCTGTACCGCATATGATTCCCAGTGCAGACAGTTGTTTCTATGGAGCACAGACAGTTGAAAGGATTGACTTCCTGCCTAGAATAGTTTCTGCTGTGTTTCTTATCCTTCTTGTGGAGATTTCAGATTATCTGAATTGCTTTTCTATCTTAAGAAAAAACTCAACAATTCTCCCACCTGAGAGGAATGTAAACTGTAGTAAGTTAGCAGAACCAATCCGTAAAATTTTTACATTGTTTGTTGCAAAATGCAGCGCTGGTGTCTCCATCACTAACCTTTTCTATCCCTCATTGCTCCTTCTTTGATTGCAATAGGATACCTCTAGGCAAATCTGTATTCCCGAGACAGAGTGCCCTTTTGGTGAGCTATAAGTACACTCAATGGTAGGCTGAAATACTAGCTTTTATCTATGGCGAAATGGAATCATATCAGTGATTGTTTTTAAAAGGAAATTTAACTCTTGCTAATGGTTTGAATGCTTGTCCCTTCCAATGTCATGTTAAAATTTGATCCCCAATGTTGCAGGTGGGGCTTACTGGGAGGTGTTTGGTCATGGGGTTGGACCTTCATGAATGGATAATACCCTCCCTTAGAAATCTAAAGCTATCCTCCCTCCTCGGTGCCCTCAGGAATGAGTGTACCATTCTTTATTCACCTATAATTCCCCCACCCATCCTTTATGAGACAATAATTACATGTATGTTACACTGCTGCATATTGTCTGACGTATCAGTGAGCTTCTGGCTTTCTTATTTTAGTTTACCCATTGTCCTTTAGTTTTTGAAGCTTCTTTTTTTTTCTATAAATTTTCTGATGTTAGGGTAAAATCCATTACTTATTCTATCTCATGGAATTTTTATTTCAAATATTTATTTTCCATCTATACATGTCACATTTTTCATTTTATAACTTCTATTTTTCTCCTATGTTCAATTTTCATTTAAGTACCTTGACATATATATGTATTTATCTATATGTATTTATAAAATATATTTACTTTAAGGACCTTGAAATTTCCTTCTTCTCTGTCATTTATAAATGACTTATTTTTATCCTGTTAATATGTATCTTAATTATATATATCTTACGGCATCTTTGTATGCCAGAGCTTTTTTTGGGGGGTATTTTGGTGTTATGCTATTGAATATCTAGATTTGATTGGCTACCTTTGAACAATGTTGTGGCAGGCAGTTCAGTAACTTCAGGATGAGTATTTTTCTGTTGTTGTTTTAAATCTTCTCTTTAAACGTTGTGGAGTTAGTCTAGAGCCATCTGTAATTTGGAGCTAAATGAGCACTGTCACCAGGGCATGAACCTCCAGTGGTCTTTACTGAATATCCTGGAGGTACAGAGGGGATTCCCTTCTCTGGCTGGTCAGAGCTGACGTGTCTTGCTGTCATGTGATGCCAGGGAAGTGTTCTTCTTCCAACTCCCTGGTAGAGTCCTTTGCTGAGCTCCTTAGAATTTCATCCTATGTACATTTGGCTTAGGGACTTGGGAGAATCCTTAGGCTGATTCTTGTTTCCTTTTTCTGTAAACGTTCTCTTCTACTACACATTCCAGCTACTTAACCTTTTTTGATTTTTATCTGGTTCCTCAGTGCAATGACAATGTCTGCTCTCTCTGGGATTCCTCTCTACTGCTGTCACGGAGAATCTGGGAATAAAGCAGGACTCATTCTGGCTCCTTCTCTTCTCTTGCGGAGCACAGTACTGTGCTGCCTGATGTTCTGTACTTCAAAAAAAGTTTCATATATTTTGTCCTGTTTACTATTCTTTAACTCTAAAAGAGTAACTCCAGTCCCAGTTACAGCATCATGTTCTGTAACTCTATTCCTTGTTGCTTCATTCTGCCATTGTCTGGTATGATCGCCCCTTTCCCTTCTGTAATCAGGCCAAGAGCATAATATAATACTAGTTATAACTGCACAGGTTGCCTCCGTTGTGTAAAAAAATCACTGAGACTTAACTGTGTCCATCTTTTAAAATGTGAATATAAGTACAACTAAAGCTATATTTTGGTTAATATTTGCATTGCATGCTTTTCCATTATTTACTTTTAACATATGTGAAATATGAATATAAATTATAAAAACTTTCAGAGAGTCCATTTAAAAAATCTGGTCTGGTTATGTTTTACCTGGTTTAATACAAAGTGCATTCCTGAATTCAGGGTCTAATATAATTGATACATCTGTCTATTTGCAAAAAAAAAAAAAACTTGACAATATTTTAAAATTAATTTATCCAACTCACAACTTATATGCTTCTGCCGTTTTATGGAAGATACATTTTAAACTTTATGAGATAGCATTCTGTTATACAGTCAATATCCAATTAAATTTCTATATTTATTTCTTTTATTAAAAAATTGTTCTTCTAACTGCAAACTTTCATCAGGGATCATGGCTCTTCTACCTGAAGAATAATCTTTAGTATTTCTTTTCCTGTGGGTCTGCTTGGGAGAAATTCTTTATTGTATCTTTGCTTTTGATGGATATGTCCACCAAGTAGACAGTTCTAGGTCAGCATTGATTTTATTTCAGGACTTGAAAGATATCAATACCTCACTTGTTGGCTTTCATTGTTTCATTTGAGAAAGTTGTTATCAGTTACCTCTTTCTCTTTGTAGTTAGCCCAATTTTTTTTTATCAAGTGCTCTTTACATTTTTCTTTTACTTTTCAGAAATTGTCCCATTATGTTTCTAGATGTGTCCTCTGTGTGTGTTTTCCTTTGCTTTGCAAAGCCTCCTGAACCTGTGGTTTAATATTATTGGTCGATTTTGATAAAACCTCTAACATTGCCACTTAAAATGCTGTTCAGACAAGCTGTTTTCTCCTTCTTAGATTTCAACGTGTTAGATTATTACTCTATCCTTCATATTTTTTAAATGACCTTTCTCTACAATTTTTTTAGTTGGTCAATCTGTATTAGTGTATATTTTGTTATTTTATTCTATTTTATTTTATTATTATACCTTAAGTCTTAGGATACATGTGGACCATGTGCAGGTTTGTAACATAAGTGTTCATGTGCCATGTTGGTGTGCTGCACCCATGAACTCGTCATTTAGCATTAGGTAGGTCTCCTAATGCTATCCCTCCCCACTCACCCCACCCCACAACAGTCCCGGAAGTGTGATGTTCCCCTTCCTGTGTCCATGTGTTCTCATTGTTCAATACCCACCTATGAATGATAACATGTGGTGTTTGGTTTTTGTCCTTGCGAGAGTTTACCGAGAACGATGATTTCCAGTTTCATCCATGTCCCTACATAGGACACAAACTCATCATTTTTTGTGGCTGCATAGTACTCCATGGTGTATATGTGCCACATTTTCTTAATCCACTCTATCGTTGTTGGACATTTCGGATGGTTCCAAGTCTTTGCTATTGTGAATACTGCTGCAATAAACATACGTGTGCATGTGTCTTTATAGCAGCATGATTTATAGTCCTTTGTGTATATACCCAGTAATGGAATGGCTGGGTCACATGGTATTTCTAGTTCTAGATACTTGAGGAATCGCCACACTGACTTCCACAATGGTTGAACTAGTTTACAGTCCCACCAACAGTGTAAAAGTGTTCCTATTTCTCCACATCCTCTCCAGCACCTGCCGTTTCCTGACTTTTTAATGATCGCCATTCTAACTGGTGTGAGATGGTATCTCGTTGTGGTTTTGATTTGCATTTCTCTGATGGCCAGTGATGATGAGCATTTTTTCATGTGTTTTTTGGCTGCATAAATGTCTTCTTTTGAGAAGTGTCTGTTCGTGTCCTTCACCCACTTTTTGATGGGGTTGTTTGTGTGTTACTTATAAATTTGTTTGAGTTCATTGTAGATTCTGGTTATTGGCCCTTTGTCAGATGAGTAGGTTGCAAAAATTTTCTCCCATTTTGTAGGTTGCCTGTTCACTCTGATGGTAGTTCCTTTTGCTGTGCAGAAGCTCTTTAGTTTAATTAGATCCCCTTTGTCAATTTTGGCTTTTGTTCCCATTGCTTTTGGTGTTTTAGACATGAAGTCCTTGCCCACGCCTATGTCCTGAATGGTATTGCCTAGGTATTCTTCTAGGGTTTTTATGATTTTAGGTCTAACATGTAAGTCTTTGATCCAACTTGAATTAATTTTTGTATAAGGTGTAAGGAAGGGATCCAGTTTCAGCTTTCTACATATGGCTAGCCAGTTTTCCCAGCACCATTATTAAATAGGGACTCCTTTCCCCATTGCTTGTTTTTGTCTGGTTTGTCAAAGATCAGACAGTTGTAGCTATGCGGCATTATTTCTGAGGGCTCTGTACTGTTCCATTGATCTATGTCTGTGTTTTGGTACCAATAACATGCTGTTTTGGTTACTGTAGCCTTGTAGTATAGTTTGAAGTCAGGTAGCGTGATGCCTCCAGCTTTGTTCTTGTGGCTTAGGATTGACTTGGCAATGCGGGCTCTTTTTTGGTTCCATATGTACTTTAAAGTCTTTTTTTCCAATTCTGTGAAGAAAGTCATTGGTAGCTTGATGGGGATGGCATTGAATCTATAAATTACCTTGGGCAGTATGGCCATTTTCACGATATTGATTCTTCCAACCCAAGAGCATGGAATGTTCTTCCATTTGTTTGTATCCTCTTTTATTTCATTGAGCAGTGGTTTGCAGTTATCCTTGAAGATGTCCTTCATGTCACTTGTAAGTTGGGTTCCTAGGTATTTTATTCTCTTTGAAGCAATTGTGAATGGGAGTTCCCTCATTATTGTGCACTCTGTTTGTCTGTGATTGGTGTACAAGAATGCTTGTGATTTTTGTACATTGATTTTGTATCCTGAGACTTTGCTGAAGTTGCTTATCAGCTTAAGGAGATTTTTGGCTGAGACAATGGGGTTTTCTAGATATACAACCATGTCATCTGCAAACGGGGACAATTTGACTTCCTCTTTTCCTAATTGAATACCCTTTGTTTCCTTCTCCTGCCTGATTGCCCTGGCCAGAACTTCCAACACTATGTTGAATAGGAGTGGTGAGAGAGGACATCCCTGTCATGTGCCAGTTTTCAAAAGGAATGCTTCCAGTTTTTGCCCATTCAGTATGATATTGGCTGTGGGTTTGTCATAGATAGCTCTTATTATTTTGAGATACGTCCCATCAATACCTAATTTATTGAGAGTTTTTAGCATGAAGGGCTGTTGAATTTTGTCAAAGGCCTTTTCTTCATCTATTGAGATAATCCTGTGGTTTTTGTCTTTGGTTAGGTTTATATGCTGGAGTGGGTGTATTGATTTGCATACGTTGAACCAGCCTTGCATCCCAGGGATGAAGCCACTGGATCATGGTGGATAAGTTTTTGATGTGCTGCTGGATTCGTTTTGCCAGTATTTTATTGAGGATTTTTGCATCAATGTTCATCAAGGATATTGGTCTAAAATTCTCTTTTTTTGTTGTGTCTCTGCCTGGCTTTGGTATCAGGATGATGCTGGCCTCATAAAATTAGTTAGAGAGGAATCCCTCTTTTTCTATTGATTGGAATAGTTTCAGAAGGAATGGTACCAGTTCCTCCTTGTACCTCTGGTAGAATTCTGCTGTGAATCCACCTGGTCCTGGACTCTTTTTGGTTGGTAAGCTATTGATTATTGCCACAATTTCAGAGCCTGTTATTGGTCTATTCAGAGATTCAACTTCTTCCTGGTTTAGTCTTGGGAGGGTGTATGTGTCGAGGAATTTATCCATTTCTTCTAGATTTTCTAGTTTATTTGTGTAGAGGTGTTTGTAGTTTTCTGTGATGGTAGATTGTATTTCTGTGGGATCGGTGGTGATAACCCCTTTATCATTTTTTATTGCTTCTATTTGATTCTTCTCTCTTTTCTTCTTTATTAGTCTTGCTAGTGGTCTATCAATTTTGTTGATCTTTTCAGAAAACCAGCTGCTGGATTCATTAATGTTTCAAAGGGTTTTTTGTTTCTCTATTTCCTTCAGTTCTGCTCTGATTTTAGTTATTTCTTGCCTTCTGCTAGATTTTGTATGTGTTTGCTCTTGCTTTTCAAGTTCTTTTAATTGTGATGTTAGGGTGTCAATTTTGGATCTTTCCTGCTTTCTCTTGTGGGCATTTAGTGCTATAAATTTCCCTCTACACACTGCTTTGAGTGTGTCCCAGAGATTCTGGTATGTTTTGTCTTTGTTCTCGTTGGTTTCAAAGAACATCTTTATTTCTGCCTTCATTTTGTTATTTACCCAGAGGTCATTCCGGAGCAGGTTGTTCATTTTCCATGTAGTTGAGCGGTTTTGAGTGAGTTTCTTAATCCTGAGTTCTAGTTTGATTGCACTGTGGTCTCAGAGACAGTTTGTTATAATTTCTATTCTTTTACATTTGCTGAGGAGAGCTTTACTTCCAACTATGTGATCAAGTTTGGAATGGGTGTGGTGCGGTGCTGAAAAAAATGTATATTCTGTTGATTTGGGGTGGAGAGTTCCGTAGATGTCTATTAGGTGCGCTTGGTGCAGAGCTGAGTTCAATTCCTGGGTGTCCTTGCTAACTTTCTGTCTCGTTGATCTGTCTAATGTTGACAGTGGCATGTTAAAATCTCCCATTATGATTGTGGGGGAGTCTAAGTCTCTTTGTAGGTCACTCAGGACGTGCTTTATGAATCTGGGTGCTCCTGTATTGGGTGCATATATATTTAGGATAGTTAGCTCTTCTTGTTGAATTGATCCCTTTACCGTTATGTAAAGGCCTTCTTTGTCTCTTTTGATCTTTGTTGGTTTAAAGTCTATTTTATCACAGACTAGGATTGCAACCCCTGCCTTTTTTTGTTTTCCATTTGCTTGGTAGATCTTCCTCCATCCCTTTATTTTGAGTCTATTTGTGTCTCTGCACGTGAGATGGGTTTCCTGAATACAGCACACTGATGGGTCTTGTCTCCTTATCCAATTTGCCA
>NT_187393.1:0-5301 GCF_000001405.40 Homo sapiens
ATTCCTGGAGGCTTTGTTCGTTTCTTTTTATTCTTTTTTCTCTAAACTTCCCTTCTCCTTTCATTTCATTCATTTCATCTTCCATCACTGATACCCTTTCTTCCAGTTGATTGCATCGGCTCCTGAGGCTTCTGCCTTCTTCACGTAGTTATTGAAACTTGGTTTTCAGCTCCATCAGATCCTTTAAGCATTTCTCTGCATTGGTTATTCCAGTTATACAGTCGTTTAATTGTTTTTCAAAGTTTTTAACTTCTTTGCTATTGGTTTTGAATTTCCTCCTGTAGCTCGCAGTAGTTTGATCATCTGAAGCCTTCTTCTCTCAAATCGTCAAAGTTATTCTCTGTCCAGTTTTGTTCCGTTGCTGGTGAGGAACTGCGTTCCTTTGGAGAAGGAGAGGCACTCTGCTTTTTAGAGTTTCCAGTTTTTCTGCTCTGTTTTCTCCCCATCTTTGTGGTTTTATCAACTTTTGGTCTTTGATGATGGTGATGTACAGATGGGTTTTTGGTGTGGGTGTCCTTTCTGCTTGTTAGTTTTCCTTCTAACAGACATGACCCTCAGTTGCAGGTCTGTTAGAGTTTACTAGAGGTCCACGCCAGGCCCTGTTTGCCTGGGTATCAGCAGCAGTTGTTGCAGAACAGCGGATTTTCGTGAACCACAAATTCAGCTGTCTGATCATTCCTCTGGAAGTTTGGTCTCAGAGGACTACCCGGCCGAGTGAGGTGTCAGTCTGTCCCTACAGGGGGGTGCCTCTCAGTTAGGCTGCTCGGGGTTCAGTGGCCCACTTTAGGAGGCAGTCTGCCCAGTCTCAGATCTCCAGTTGTGTGCTGGGAGAACCACTCCTCTCTTCAAAGCTGTCAGACAGGGACATTTAAGTCTGCAGAGGTTACTGCTGACTTTTTGTGTGTCTGTGCCCTGCCCCCAGAGGTGGAGCCTACAGAGGCAGGCAGGCCTCCTGGAGCTGTTGTGGGCTCCACCCAGTTCCAGCTGCCTGGCTGCTTTGTTTACCTAAGAAAGCCAGGGCTATGGTGGGCCCCACTCCCCCAGCCTCGCTGCCGCCCTGCAGTTTGATCTCAGAGTGCCGTGCTAGCAATCAGCAAGACTCCATTGGCATAAGACCCTCTGTGCCAGGTGCAGGACACAATCTCCTGGTGTGCCGTTTTCCAAGCCTGTTGGAAAAGTGCAGTATTAGGGTGAGAGTGACCCGAATTTCCAGGTGCCGTCTGTCACCCCTTTCTTTGACTAGGAAAGGGAACTCCCAGACCCCTTGTGCTTCCTGAGTTAGGCAATGCCTCGCCCTGCTTCGGCTCCCACACGGTGGGCTACACTCACTGTCCTGTACCCATTGTTTGGCGCTCCCTTAGTGAGATGAACCCAGTACCTCAGATGGAAATGCAGAAATCACCCATCTGCTGCATCGCTCACGCTGGGAGCTGTAGACCAGAGCTTTTCCTATTTGGCCATCTTGGCTCCACCCCTCATTTCATTATTTCATCATTTCATCATTTCACTTCATTTCATCATTTCATTTCATCATTTCATACCATTTCTTCCTTTCATCATTTCATACCATTTCTTCATTTCATTTCATTTCACCATTTCACTTCATCATTTCCTTTCAGCATTTCATTTCATTTGCTCATTTCATTTTACCATTTCATTTCGTCGTTTCATTTCATTTCATCATTCCATTTCATCATTTCATCATTTCATTTCATCTCATCATTTCATTTCATCATTTCATTTCATTTCAGCATTTCATCATTTCACCATTTCATTTCATCTCATTTCATTTCATCATTTTATCATTTCATTTCATCATTTTATCATTTCATTTCATTTCCTCATTTCATCATTTCGTTTCATCATTTCATTTCATTTCATGCCATCATTTCATCATTTCATTTCATTTCAGTGATACATGTATTTAAGTGCTAATGTGATGCCCGGGAAACACCCTATTTCCCTTTGTAAAACACCTCCTTCAACAAAAGTCAACCTCTCATGGCTGGCAACGTCTACAGGGATACCAGCCTCTTTTCAACCACCCAATTTGATTCAGAACCTCAAACAGCACCTCAGTTTCATAGAAACCTAAAACATAAACACAACACTTGGTTGTAAGTGAGCCAACAGTTTCTTGTCTCTTTCTCTGCTCAAGGCTTAAGGCCATGTCTCCCCAACTATGTTCAGTGGAAGAAAAGATCCCCTGGACATATAAGTGTGAGAACTGTTGTGGCAGGACTTCTGACAACCTTTAAAACACAAATCCTCATCCGCAGGGATCTTCAGGAGGGAGATGGCTGATGCAGCACAACTTTCTTTCACAGGAGCATCTTGCAGAATACAGTATGAGATGCAGAAAGGCTGCATTGAGTCTTTTTAAGGGACAGGGCCTTTGTGGTGGTGGGGTAGGAGCTCTCCAGATAGCATCTAATGAGCAGGAACATTCAGGTTGCTTTTTTTTTCCTTACTGGCAAAACTGTGTGTGCATCATGAATGAAGCTGGTCTCCCTTATCCATATCAAAACTAAACCCAAATTAATTGGCTAAATTGGGACTCAACACCTCCAGGAGCCATGCGGAAGAAAGACCCACCACACTTTAAAGTAGCTTACCTCATCATATTTGATGAAAGCAGAAAGCTTATGACCAGTATGCTGCTAATACAAGTCAACAGATAATGCTGTATGAAAAATTATTTTTCCCAATCATAGCTAGCATAGTCCACATTTTGCATTACACCTTCGATCCTTTTTTAAAATTTTAAACACAGGTCTTTTCTCTCTTTTTTTTAAATTTTAATTTAATTATACAAGACGGAGTCTCAGTATGTTGCCCAGGCTGGTCTTCAACTCCTGAGATCAAATGATACATCCGTCTCCACCTCCCAAAGTGCTGAGATTACAGGCCTGAGACACTGTGCCCGGCCTTAAACACAAATCTTAATTCATTCTTACAATCATCCTGAGGTTAGAAAAATGGAAGGGGAAGAAAAATGGCAAGCAGGTAGGCTGACTTCGGCTTCATTATTTGGAAGGACAGTTTGCTCAGTTAAAACACACTACTGCCCACAAAGGCCAAGAAAACAGAAAAATACAGACATATAAGTAGATTTTATATGTGACAGCAGTTTGAATGGAGACTTTTTCAATGCAAATGACAAACAGCTGTCCTTGGGAATAAATGACAACGAATTTTTTTATCTCAACAGCTGTCCTGAGAGCATGTCTCTACATCTCTATCTGCATTCTGGAATCAGGGAGAAAGACAAAACGGACGACAAGACACTAGATCAGCCGTGTCCAACCCTTTGACTACAAGGACTTTTCCGCCTATCTGTGGTGGTGGGTATCATGAAAATTATGCACAAACCTTTTTTTTTTAAGCTCATCAGCTATTGTTAGCAGTAGTGTATTTTATCTGTGGCCCAGGAGCATTCTTCTTCCAATGTGGCCCTGAGAAGCCAAAAGACTGGACACCTGTGCACTAGATCAAAAGGCTACTCCTTCTGGAAGCAATTGTAAAGAATTTCTGACATTATCTTGACATGAAAACAAATGGATAGTGGGACAGAATGAAAAATCTTCAAGAATTTTTCTTGTTGGTTTTTTTTTTTTTTTGAGTCAAGGTGTTGCTCTGTGGCCCAGGCTGGAGTACACTGGTGAGATCACAGCTCAGTGCAGGATCAAGTGCTCCTCCTGCCTCAGCCACAGTAGTAGCTAGGACTACAGATGTGCACAACCACTCCTGGCTAATATTTTATTTTTTGTAAAGATGGGGTCTCACTATATTGTGCAGGTTGGTCTCAAACTCCTTGACTCAAGGGATCCAGGACAGGATAACAGGTGTGAGCCACCACACCTGGCTATGTGCATGAACTTTTAAGACAAATACAAGGCTCCACAAAAGTTAAGGCTTTCCCACCTAATTTCCAGGGGATCTTTTGGTGCAAGGATGAGAAACCCTTAAAAGTACACAGACAACTCCAAAGATTCAAGAGAGTTCATTCGGGCTGAGCCAGCCCACGCGCAGACTGACCTTCAAACAAGGCCCACCCATGACATACACCAGATGGCTCTCCAAGAATCTCTCCAGTTCTCAGGGTCCCTAAGGTACTGGACAGAGCTAGGAAAGCAAACCCATTTGCTTCTTCCTGCAGGAAACCCCTTGAGGTCAAGACCCTACAATCAGACAAGGATGGAGTGGCTCACCCTCAGTCAACAGGCCAGACTCAAGGTGGTATAATGTCTAAACCAAGGGTGTGAGACTCCAGGTCTGAATCCTAACTCAGTTCTCCTTTGATAACCACACTTTGTTAATTTTTCTTAACAGGGGTTCCTGGCAAGTCATTTCTCCCTCAGGCCTTCGGTTTCTTCGCCTACAAGATGAGAAGTCTGCACCAGATGGAAATTCGGGGCGTAAGGGGATGTCCGCGCGAAGCCCACACCGCCCACGGGCCCCTCGAGCCTCATCACAGTTCCCAACACGCACCCACCCCACAAATCCCGCCCAAGGTGATGACTGGTCCCGGGTCCTCCGGCTGCCGCATCAGCGATTGCAGGAGGGAGGAGAAGCCTCCAAGGGGGTGACGCGGGCTCAAGGACGCAACTCGGCCAGGAGTGAACTGGGGCCCCGAGGGAGATGTCCAGTCCGGTGCTGGAGCCCAGTCCTGGTCCCTGACCCCCTTACCTCCACGGTCCATGTCTCCTGCTGGGTGAGGTCCTTGGACACAGCGCACTTGGTGCGCAGCCCGCGCAGGCTGCCAAGGGAGATGCCGATGAGCTTCTGGAGCTGCCCGCACTGCTGCAGCACCCGGCTGGCCGCGGCCCCTGCGCCTCCCTTCGCGATAGCCGCGTCACCCCCGCCACCACTCTCCTTCTTCTCTCCCATCGGGGCCGAGCACAGCGCTGCTGTATGCAGGCGGCAGCGGCCCAGGAGCGGAGCCTGGGGCGCGGGTGTCTAGGTAAGGAACTTCCGAACCGGGGAGCTGGACCAGGAGCGACCCTCGGCGCTGCCTTAGCCAGGACGCTGGTAGATCTGGCAGCCGAGTCTGCGGATCCCCTCCTCAGACCCGCGGCAGTGGGGGCAAAAAGCCGCGGCGGTGGGGGAAAAACCCGCGATGGCGGGGTGAAAAAGCCGTAGCGGTAAAAACCTGTGGCGGCGGGAGTAAAAAGCCGCGTCAGCAAAAAGCCGCGGCGGCGGGTAAAAAGCCGCGGTGATGGGGGCAAAAAGCCGCGGCGGCGGGGGCAAAAAGCCGCTGCAGCGGGCGCAAAAAAGCCGCAATGGTGGGGGCAAAAAGCC
>NT_187393.1:6180-68006 GCF_000001405.40 Homo sapiens
GGGCAAAAAGCTGCGGCAGCAGGGGGAAAAAGCCACAAAAAGCCACGGCGGCGAGGACAAAAAGCCGTGTCTTCGGGGGCAAAAAGCCGCGGCGGCGGGGGGAGAAAGACGCAAAAAGCCGCGGCGGCAGGGGCTAAATTCCGCGAGGCCGGGGGCAGAAAACCGCGGCGGCGGGGGAAGAAAGCAACGGCGGCCGGGGCAAAAAGTTGCGGCGGCGGAGGCATAAAGCCGCAAAAACCCGCAGCGACGGGGGCAAAAATCCATGGCGGCAAAAAGCCACGTCGGCGGGGGCAAAATAGTGGAAATGGGGTAGAAGGCCAGCACTGCTTGGCATTCCTGGAGTGTGATGTGGAAGGAAAAGTGCAGAGGAAGACAAACAAAGATGTAAGTAGGCTTGACTCAGTGCAGCTAAGAACCCAGATGTTATCTTGATGTTATCTATCAGCTAATTTTTTGTATTTTAGTAGAGAAGGGGTTTTACCACGTTGGCCAGGATGGTCTCTATCTCCTGACCTCATGATCCACGCACCTCAGCCTCCCAAAGTGGTGGGATCAGAGGCATGATCCACAAAGTGCTCAAAAAATCTATTAATTAAAAAATGTGTATGTAGCCGTCTTTAATCTACCATGTCCATTAGCAGATAAATACCATAAGCAAAATAACAACAATGAAAGAAACATAGACTTAGAGTAGATACTCTGATTTATTTAATAAAAATTTGAAAATAGACCAAATTACTCTATGATAAAAAAAAATCTGTTACTATTGAGGATGAGGGTTAGTGTTTGGAAAGGGGCAGGAGAAGTATCTCTATTTTTAGTAATGTTCTATTTTCATACATGGTTATAAGCAAATACATGTGTTTCATTAATGAAGCTATCCATATTTAATTATTGTACTTTTCTACATGTATGATATATGTCAATAAATGTCTTAAATTATATACAGCAAAAATAGACAAAAACACAAGAAGACATACACGAATGTTAAACCTAGAGAGAAATTTGAATATAAGTAAGTCTCTGAATGACTGGTAGAACAATCCGAAAAATAGGATGGGGAGGTTTGGAATAGCATGATTAGCAAAATTGACATATCTGTCTTTTAATATAGGTAGAAACATAGTTAGATAAAAAAAGGACTTGTCTCAGAGCATGATTTCTGAAAATAGTGGAATCGAGTTTGAATCTAGTAAGTACATATAAATAAATGTCTTAAAACTCCTCTTATGTTAGATAATTAGGAAATATTACTGTAATAGATATTAGAAAATATTTTAATAAATTGAGTGCATTTCACACGCTAAGGAAATGATCTTACTTGCATTTGATAGCTCAATTAGATACATATATACCTATAGGTAGTTTAAAATATTTCTAATAACGTTATATACTTTTAAAAAGCATTGATATCTGTTTGCACTATCTGGTCTATAGGGTACACATACCAAACATGATTATAGCTCTTCTGCTATAAACTTCAAATGTCTAATTAATACAAAAATCTAGAATGAGAAGAGTTCTTCGCAATTTTCTTTTTTTTTTTTTACCAAATAGAATATAGGAAAGATAGCTGCAAATATACCTGACACACTTATCTGTGAGTATGGTGGTAGCCTTTTTATTTTATTTTATTTTGAGAGAGGGTCTCACTTTGTCACCCAAGATGGAGTGCAGTCATGTGATCAGAGCTCACTGAGGCCTTCACATACTGTGCTCAAGCGATTCTCCCACCTCAGTCTCCTGAGTAGCAGGGACTGCAGGTGCATGACACCATACTAGCTAATTTTTGTGAAGATGGGTTTTCACCATGTTGCCCTGGCTGATCTCCAACCCCTAGACTCAAGAGATCTGGCCACCTTGGCCTCCCAAAGTGCTGGGATTATAGTTTTGAGGCACCGCGATCAGCCCAGCCTTAAAAAAGGCTGACTAGAGATCTTCATCTATGTATATCTATATCTATCTATAAAATAAACGTGTGTTTCTTATATAAACACATATATTATTAATATTATATAAAAATTTTTTTCAAGGTAGAAATATATAAAGAGGGTGCATGCAGAGCCTGGGGCATTGTGTAGTGAAGCTCAAGGCCTCTGGAGAAATGCCCCTTGCCTCTTTTGTCTGGGCTAGAATCCGAGAAGGGAAAGCAGCAGATGCACTGGTTCCCAGGTTCTTGGCATCCTACAGAGAGAAACTTGTTTGAGCTAGGGTAGTGTTTAACACCTTTGTTCTTACTCTTCTGTTTTATGTAGTAAGCAGAGACTAGCTTCATGAAAACAGACTGTGACAGTCAAGGCTGTCTGTTATTTTGTGCAGCATTAATTGAGAAATTCTAGCACCTGAAGACCTCTGGGCCATTTGAGGGTAGGTGCAGGGGAGGAAAGGGAAGTTTGCATCCCTCCTGCTGTGGAGAGAACCCGTGGGAAGCACAGACCTTGTCCTAACTGAAGGCAGACCCCCTTGCTAACCAGCTTCTCATCAGCCAACCCTGGATGAGGTTCCATGTCTATTTACTAAATAATCTTTTTGCTTTTCTTCATATGGGCAAAGTATGGTTTACAGGGAATATTGTTCCTTTGAACACCCATCGTGGAAACCCCTTCCTGTTGTGGGAAAACAGGCTTCCATATGTGTCTTATTGGGAAACACATAGGGAATTTCTGTGTTTTTACGGCATCTATTTCAGGGATATGGGAAATGAATAGTGCCCATCAAAGGCTCACCTGATGTTGGAAATTGATCTGAGATCGCGGAAGGACAGAATTGTTTCTTTGTTCCTGGGCAGCTGTGGTTGAGGGATCATTTTGTGGCAGCTACGGTGGCAATGATGGAGGCAGAACGGAGGGCTCAGTACCAAGACGAGGAGAGATTTGGCCTCACAATGGCAGCATTGCAGGGGTGCGCTCTACAAAGCATTTGCTCACATGGTTTTGGGCATTGTCTCTAACTACATTGCTTCCCCAATAGGTTGACCCATTCTAACTAACTCCTTTTCTCTTTAAAAAAGCAAACTTCATTTGTATGACTTGCAATTGTAAATTACACCAATTGGCCAGTTATCATTCAAATTCTCTGTTACTTAATCCTGACTTTTCCTGACGTATGCAACTTTCCCGTAAAAAATTGGACACTTTGTTGCTTACTCATGGTCTTTACACATTTTAAAATGTTGCTTTATGCCCCCAATCCCTAACTACATTTTCGATGTTTTGCAAGTGGAGTCCATGTGTTCTTGATTTACATGAAGCTCAAAATAATGGTTATAGTAACTAGTACTTCATAATTAAGCAAAAAGCTCTTATTGAAAAATGACAGAACTATACATAGGGATGACAACATGGAGAGATATTTCTTGAGATCACAAAGTTATGGTATGGCAGAAGTAGAATGCTGAGTAGAGACCCTGTGTTCCCAATCATTATTTCTACCACCAGCTTTCTATTTTGATGTTAATAATGTTCTTATGTGGGAAACCCTACATATTTGCCAATGTTTAGTTCATTGACAAAGAAATAGAAAGAGCTTCAAGAACACTTTAATCTTTAAAAAGTAAAATATCTATAATTGGCCATACGAAAAAATTGGTACTTGACATATACTAAGATCGTTTTATTTTGTGCTAGACAAATGAAGTCATAGAACAGAATGTGCTTTAAATATTATGAATAGTGCCTGTGTGTGTGTGTGTGTGTGTGTGTGTGTGTGTCTATAGATGCATATTAGGCTGCTGAAAAGTTTTATTATTCTTTCCAGCAGAGAGACTGCCAACTTTTGAACCTAACTAGAACAAGTATATTGCTTCTTCATATTTTTATTAAGGCAAAGAGAGTCTAGTTAAAAATAATTCAACTTGTCGTGGAAATGCTATAAATTGCTGTGAAGTGAGTTGCTGGCTATGGCTTGTCAGAGCAAATATATTGTACAAATCTTAGGTGAGAATTAATGCTTGGGCATTAAAATCAGATCATCTTGCAGGACACTGAGAACATGGTTAGATTTTTAAAATAATTTCAAAGTCATGAAAAGAGCAAATATGTTCCACAAAGAGCCTAGCAACCCTCAATGACCAATGCCCCTTTTATATAGTTTGGTATCTGAATTAGAATCCCAGAATCTACAAATTCCTCTGGGTGTGGGTGCTGCATTTTGAGGGTTTTTTAACACTGCCATCACCAAGCTCTCTTTTGATATTCACTTTAAGGAGATAAGTTACGGGCAACCAGAGAGCATAAACCAAAGTAGATATCTATCTAGATAGCTAGATACATCTCCATATCATTGACAGGATACATTTTGGCCGAGTGTGAGTACAACCTATGGATGTGGTTGGAGAGAACATGTGTTCCACCTGAATGGCAGATCAGGATTATTCCTTCTCATCTGCTGCAATGGCTCAATGTGTTAAGGAGAGGAGCGAGACAGCAAGAACCGCATTCATTCAGTCATACAGAGCAAAAGGAGGAATGTCGCCCAGCCCTCTAAACTGACCCAGAACCCAGCTCATGTCTCAACTGCTACCTCTCCTACTTAGAAAGAAGTAACTCCACCAAAGCAGGGTTCTGGACAAATATATTTTTATTGATCATATACAAATAGATGAAGATGGACTTGGATGTTAATAAAAATAATACTATACAAAACCGAGAGTAGACAGTCGCCCCTAGACTTAAATTAAGGTCTGTACATTAGATAATTTAATCCAATGTATCAGGTAAAAACTTGAACAAACTTTTTGACCTCTTCCTTAAAATTCAGGGAAATATGTCCTCCACAAAACAGAATCAAAATATAAATAAAAGACTGGCTTAAGATGAAAGGAAACCTTACAAATGAAAAGAAGCCAGATGAGAGGCACTTAACTGAGAATGAAAAGAAACTGAGTGGACAAAATAATTATGAGAAGATGAACCTTCAAATCAGAAAGAGGGAAAAAAGCTTATTTGGTACTATGGGAACTCAAAAGAGCGTGAACACAAATGTGAAAATTCCAGGAGTAAAGAAAAGTAGCATAGCTAAATTAAGAGCATGAGAAAATGTATACAATTTTGAGTAATAAGAACAGAAATAAAAAGTAACTATAGTATGTTATATTTTAGTAGAGCAACACTGAAGAAGAATGAAAACAAGAAATAATATTAAATATGAACATATGGAGAACAGAATAATATTTTTAAAATTTTTAGTTTCTAAGCTTATCTGAAATTTTAATTTTGTTTTCTTATGAAATACCAGAGTTATTAGGAAGGTATTATCTAATAACACTATTTTCAGTGATATTTTAAGTAGTTGTCCTAGAAAAATTTCTATTTTTAAAAATGTATATTTAAAAATACATTAAATGTGTATATACATCAATCATATGTATCGATTTCTGTTTTTCTTGAATTGCAAATGAAATTTGTATTTTTGTGTTCCTGGAATAAAATAAACTTGAATGGATTGTAATATATTATTCATGCTGTAATTCAATGTATTTGAATACTTTAAGAATATTACATTTATAGTTAACAGATACTGACCTATAAATTTTCTGTCATATAATGATGCTGTGAGACAATCTAAGAAGAAATAAAATTTAAATTCATGTATTCCTACTTTTTTCTCTGTTCTCTAACTGTAATATATTTTAATTACAGATGGAGGAACATATAGATGTTAGATAAATAGATATATAGTAGATAGATCATCCAAAATTCTTATTCTTATGGTTTTATGTAGTCAGTATTTACCTCTATTTTTCTACATGTTTATCCTTCCAATTTAGTTCATTACTTCCTGCACCTTTGATGTCATATATATAAACAGGAAATAACACATGGTGGCCGGGATGTAGAGAGAGCCACAGGACTTGTGAATAAAATCCACAGGCAAAGATGTGGCGATTCCTTTTGCAATATTGGAGGGAATGCCAAACCCTATGTTTGCTGTGGAAAAGAGTATGATATTTCCTCAAAACATCAAAATGGTATTGCCTTATGATTCAGCAGCCCCACATCTCAAGATAGCAAAAGAATTGAAAGCAGCGTCTTGAAAAAATATTTGCACATCCATGTTTGCAACAGCATTATTGGCAATAGCTAAAATATAGAAGCAATTGAAGTGTCCAACAACAGATGAATGGATAAGCAAAACATGAAGTATACATACAATGGAAAATTATTCAGCCTTAAACATGAGGGAAATATTCTGACATATGTTGCAACTTGGAAGAAACTTGAGGATATTATGCCAAATTAAATGTTAGTCAGTGAAGGACAAATACAGTATAATTCCATTTGTATAAGAGACTTAAAGTGGACAGAATCATAGAGATAGTAAAATGATGATTGCCAGAAGCTGGGGGGAGGAAGACATGGGGAAGTACTATTTAATGGGTATAGGGTTTCAGTTTCACAAGATGAAACGAGTTATGGAGATGGATGGTAGGGATGGCTGCACAATGTTATGACTCTAGTACCACTGAGCAGTACACTTAAAATGGTTAACAGAGTACATTTTACGTTATGTGTATTTTACCACAATAAAAAAATAAAATACCTTAAGAACATTTTCCTGAAAAAGTCCACATAAAATTCATTTTAATGCATGTGTTTATGCATAGCTTTCTATTTTTCTCTTTTCTATTTATATTCCAAATTAGAATACAATGCTAATCAAGCATAGTGGCTGTGTTTCTTGCTTCCTCTAGTCTGCAGGTAGCATACAAATGTAATAAACTACTCATTAATGTCACATCTATTTATTTTCTGCCTTATACCAAGCTTGTGGGATTCTCTTAATTACAACATTTTTATACTTACACCTATGCAATACCCATTAGCATCGCCTTCCTAAATCAGGCGAAACTGAGTCTCTGTAAGGTGCAGTAACTTACTAAGATACAGAACTCAGCATTAAAGTCTGTATACTTCAATATCCTGCCCTCTTCTCATTTGTCTTTACTGCCTTTTATGTATGTGTTAGATGTTCAATAAATTCTCTTTTTTAAACTGAATTTAAGCCGTGGAGCAGTGTTTTGTTGAACAATAAATATGATATTGGACACTCTTCCTCCCTTTCATTTATGATGAGTTCATGAAAAAGAGAAATTCTTTCATTGTGGTAGAAGCTTAAAATAATGAAAATGCCACTTTCTACATTAAACAGAAACTGAAGGGAATCAAGATGAATTGGATGAGACATAGAAAACAAGTGGGAAATAAATCTAGTATAATTTCCCCTTTGTGTACCTTTGTTATTTAGCATTTGAGAAAATGCTTCCCCCAAATATCTTCCCATCTTAATTCATGTCTATAAAGTAGACATTTATGTCTCACCTTGTCAAGAAGGGCAAACTCTAACTTAAACATTTCCCAAAAATGCTTCCTGCTAAAACATAAGCTCAGTCTGGTTAGAAATTAAGCTCACTTCATAAAAATTTGTTGGTAGCTAATCTTTGCATGCTGTTCTCTGAACTTGAGTGAAAGCTGTCCATCAGGCATACAGGGAATGATGGAAAAGGTGACAACGGAAGATGAATGCTATGTCACTAACCTTCAAAGATGACCTTCCTTTTCTTTCAAATTCTTGACATCTTAAGACTTCATTAATTCATCTTTCTTTGCCCTTGGTTCAACATTGTGCTATTCCAAAACTCATGTAAAACCATGATCTATTGTAATAAAAATGGCATTTTTCTTTCATGTAGATGCAAGCTATCTGGCATTTTTACAATCAACATACTTCCGTTGTCAATTTTTCATTCTGTATTGGAAGTAATTGATAGGTATTTCTGAAGGGATGAAGGTGTTTCTGTGTTCGTTGTGATCCAAACTTTTTTTAGACCTAGTGGTGTTTGTAAAACAATTTGTGCCAGCTGACCAAGGATCACTGTGGCAGAAAGCAGCAAACTTGCATAAGATGTCACTGCCTCATCAGTTGGCTTTGAAAACTAGGGGCTTATTCTATAGTCCTATGAATCAAAGACATTGATAGATGTAGTATAAGATTACAATCATATTTTCCTTTTGACAGTCACATTATAAAGCATGATGTATTGCAATTAATCTCAATTAGCTGATGACAATTAAAATTAATAGTTTATTATTGCTGATAAACAATCATGACTCTCCTGTTCTCAAACGTGCAAGTAATTCTTGTAATTTTAATACAAATCTGCATATTATTACTAATTGATTTAATCTCATTGTATTTGGTTCATGGATCCAATTTATTAAAATATTGATAATGGGGTAATGATTTGTCTCCCCATTTCATTTACACTAAAAGACACAATTCGTACAATGGTCTGCAAGCCCATCATGATCTGCCGCATGTTAACTGCCAAAATTCTTTTATGTCTTCACCCTTGATCTTACCAGTGGTCCTGTCCACCTCACTGTCCTCTGGACATGCCAACATGCTGCTGTCTTATGACCAAGACTCTAGTTAATTTCTTGGCTTGGAAAGATAGCCCTCCATATATCCATTGATCAGCTCATTCAACTTCCTCAAGTCTTTACTGAAACCTCACATTCTCGATGAGACCTATTCAGTATTTTAAACTGCCTCCCAGCTGCAACATTCCAAAACCCCTTAGTCTTCTGTGTATTTTTGAAAGGATTTATTGAGATATAATTTACATACTGTAGAGTGCACATATTAATGTCTACAAGTCAATGGCTTTTAGTATATACACAGATAAGTGGAGCCATCATCACAATGAATTTTAGAGCATTTTCATCACTTCAAAAAGAAACCCCACCTTCTCTAGCTGTTAACCTCCTATGCACTCATCCCCTACTCAATCCTAAGCAGCCACAAATCTGTTTTCTGTCTCTGTAGATTTTCCTATTCTATTTTCATCTAAATAGAATCATACAACAGGTGGTCTTTTGTGCCTGGCTTCTTTCAGTTGGCATAATGCTATCAAGGTTCATAGCGTATTGGTACTTTATTTCTTTTTATAACTGTATAACATTCAATTTCATGGATATAACATTTTGTTTATCCAATAATATTTTTATTGACATTTGAGTTGTGTTCAGCCTTTGGCTATTTTAAATACTGCTGCTAAAAATACTTGTGTACAATTTGTGTTTGAACACCTCTTTCCAATACTCTGGGTGTATACCTGGGAATAAATTTCTGGGTCATATGACAATTCTATGTTTAATATATTTAGAAGCCATCAACCTATTTTCCAAAGTGGCCAGTTCTAGCCATAGAGTATCTAACTGTGTTTCTGATTTGTAGTTGCCTGATGAGTGATGCTGTTGAGTAACTTTTTATGGGATTATTGACCGTTCGTGTATCTCCTTGGGATACACATCTATTCCTATCATTTATCAGTTTTGAGTTGGGATTTTTGTTACTGAATTAAAACAATTTTTCTATATTCAAGATACATATATATGCAGACATATAGATATGTGTTTTTCAAATATTTTCTCACAATTTTTGAGCTGCCTTTGACTTGCTTGGTTGTCCTTTGAAACACCAATGTCTTTAATTTTTAAGAAATTTTAAATATCTAATTTTTATTTTGTTGCTCATGTTTTTGGTGTTACAGCTATTTCTTTGCTAGATCCAAAATCCTGAAGATTTTCCCATATGCTTTATTCTAGATCTTGCATGTATGTCTTTAATTCATTTGAGTTAATATTTTTGTATGCTCTGGGATAAGTGTTCCAATTTATTATTTTGCAAGTGGCGATCCACGTGTACATTGTTGACCTAGTTTGTTCAAAGACTGTCTCTTCCTCATTGAATTGCACATGGCACCACTGTAAGAATCCATTGACTATAGATACATAGTTTTATATATGGACTCTCAATTCTCTTCCATCAATCTATATATTTTTCCATCATCGGTATTGTGTTGTCTTGATTACTGATGCTTTGCCGTAAAGTTTGGAGCACGGGGGTGTGAATTATCCTAATATGGTTTTTTTTCAAGATTATTTTGGCTATTTTGAGTCCCTTACAATCCCATGTGTATTTTAGATTCAACTTGTCAGTTTCTAGACAGAAGTCTGTTGGAATACTTGCAGGGATTACGTCAAATCTGTAGTTCAACTTGTAAAGTACTACAATATTAAATCTTCCAATTCATGGCTGTAAGTTGTTTGCTAATTATTTAGATCTTCTTTAAACAATAATTTTTAATTTTCAGAGTAAAATCTTGTATCACATTTTCCAAATTAATTATTATTTCTTTTTTTGATGCTATTTTAAATTGAAGTGTTTTCTTAATTTCATTTTGGGGTTTTCATTGTAGATGTGTGCAATTGATTTTTGTACATTTATCTTGTATGCTGTAATATTGCTGAAATAATTTACTAGTTCTATCGTTCAGTGGATTCCTTAAAATTTTCTATATACAAGAATGTTATCTTCAAATAAAGTTTTATTTCTTCCTGTTCAATATGGGTGACTCTTATTTTTTTAGTTGCCGATTTGCCCTGCATAAAATCTTTAGTACAGTGTTGACTAGAAGAGGTCAAAGTATATATCTTATTCTTATCTCTGACCATAGCGGGAAAGCATCCTTTACCATTAAGTTGCATGCTTGCTGTTGGCTTTTCACAGGTGCCATGTATCTGGTGTAGAAAGTTCTCTATTCCTGGTTCATTGAGTTTTTATTTTTATTTTTAATCGTAAAAGCATTTGGATTTTATTAAATGTCTTTTCCAAATCTATCGACATGATCATGCAATTCTTGTTTCTTATTCTATGAATAAGATGTATTACCTTAATGGATTTTGGGCTGTTAAACCAACCTGAGATTACTAGTATAAATTTCACTTTGTCATAGTGTATAATTCTTTTATATGTTGCTAGATCTGATTTGTTAGTAGTTTTTAAGGAATTTTGCATTTATACTTATAGTAGTTTTATTTTTCTATGTTATTTGGACTAATTTTTGTATCAAGGTAACACTGGCCCCACAGAATAAATTGGGAAGTGAATATTTCTCTTTTTAAAAAAAGTCAGTCAAGAATTAATATCAATTAGTCAATACTAACAAATATGATTAATATTATAAATTATTAATTTCTCTAATTTTTATTTTCTTCCTTCTGCTTTTTTTAGGTTTATTTTGCTATTCTTTCCAGTGCCTTAATGTGGAAGGTCATCTTATCTCATCCTTTCCTTTGTCTTTTCATTTTCAAAATAGTGTCTTTTTAGCATCAGGTGAGCTCCCCAGGTTGGTAGTACTCCATGTTTATTGCTGTACAACAATGACAGGTAATATGTCCTGAAGACAATGGAAACTTATTCAAAATCCTCCTAGATTCCACCTTATGTGATATGTCTCTTCCTTTGATTGGTCCTAATTTCTACCCTTTCTCTATTATAAACCATGAGTACAATGGCATTCAATGAGTTCTGTGTATCTTTTTAGTAAATTCTTGAAACTGAGGGTGTTCTGGGGAAACCCCTGAACTGGCAGTTGGTGACAAAAGTGCGAATCATCTTATATGGCCTCTTCCTTTGAACTTTGCAGCTGGACCCAAACTCTGCACAATTTGGGCCAGAAGTCTCGTGTTGACTTTGCAGCCTAAATTATCTTGTAGTTTGTCTAACCCTCAATAAATTTGCTTTCATCAAATATTGTATTTGTTACACCAAAATTACCATCATGTTTTTTTCTCCAAATAACTAACATTGGGAGAAATAGCCAGCTGAATCTGTAACTCAACAGAAACAAGTGATCCATATACCATATAAGTGGCCATTTCATTTTTCCTCCTTCCACCAAATCTTAGCAACCTCAACCATTGCCATGAGCCACTGTAGGCCTACTGTCTACAAACAAACAAGTATCTTTTAAAAACACTTCATACTCCCATTTGATAAATTTCCCAGCAAAGAGATGCTTATTTAACTCTATGCAAGTGGCTCATATTCGCAAAGTCTGGAGATATTATTCATGTAGTGTGAGAAAATCTTCCCAGCGATGCCAGCACATTCTCCTTCCCATGATCTGCTTAGTTTGCAAACATATTCAGGCCATAGGTGAGAGATTTGTATTTCACAGTACAACAATTTTATGGAGGTCATTGAAACTTAGATTTAGCATTTTAGCACAGTCACAAATCACTGAATGACAGGGATACGTTCTAACAGATGCATCCATAGGCAATTTCATCATTTTGCAAACGTCAGAGAGAATATTACAAACACCTAGTTTGTACAGCCTACTACGTTTAGGTTATATGGTATAACCTCTCTCTCCTAGGCTACAAACCTGTGTACTACATTACTATACTGAATACTGCAGGCAATAAAAACACAGTGGTAAGAGTTTATGTATCTAAACATACTTAAACATAGAAAAGTATGTAAAAATATGTATTATAATCTCATGGGACCACTTTTGTATATGTAATCCATCTTTGAAATGTTATTATACATGACCTGACTCTATGACAAAAATAATACATTTAAAAAAATGTACACATGTATCAAACATATTATTATAAAAATAAAAATATTTATTCAGTGTAATAATTTGTAATGATCACAAAATGTTCACAGCTTATATATAAGTACAGTTTCAAATGCCTAGTGCAATTACTATTTATTTCTTTGTGTATTTTAAACAGGTATATAATAAATATTTTTCAGGTTCAACAATATATATCAATCCTACAGACTCTTATAAATATTAGTTAAAATCAATTGGTAAATTCATGTATATATATGCATACCTGTATCAGTGAGAGTCTGTGCATGTATGTTTGTGTAAATGTAATTGTATGTGTGTGTAAATGTAATTGGATGCATCCTTATATTTACCCTTACCTACAAGATTTCCAAGATTCATTTATTATCTTTAGATGATGGGTATTTAAAGATTTACCAAATACAACTGTTAATAGTGGAAAATATCAAGATGTTATTAAAATCATCTTGTGCACATAATGTTTTCTATAAATTTATGTTTCTTGCAAAACTTGCAGTAATGCTCATGCACAAAATAATTTTCTAAATAAAAAATAAAAACATTTTCTCAGTCAGTCATTAATTCTTAAAATTATTTCTCCCCAATAATTAATGTGAATTAATTCTTAATTCTTAATTATAGAATAATGTTGCCCTTCAGAGTTCGGAAATTTTTACATGTTGTACACATTTCACTAACCAGAACAACTTCTGAAATATTGGCATTAATTAATGTCACTCAGCAATTATTGATTTCAAAGGCATTAAATACCATTCATATTCTGAATCACCAGGGTACTTTGGCATCTTATTTAATCAAGCTCTTTGTATCATCATCTACACTTTAATTACTTAACAAACATTTCTCTGTGTGAGAAAGATTGAGCAGGTTATTGTGCTTTTTTAAGAGGCAAATTTTGCTTAATCTAGAGATAGGCAATGCTCCCTATAAGGGACAAGGAGAAAAATAAATGAGAAATAGAGATGTGACAGGCATGGAAAAAGACACTACATATATCAAACAAATAGGGCCATGGATGACGATAATGGGGATCAAATCTTGAGATACTGACTCAGTTTATAACTGCACTGTATAATAGAGCAAATCATTTGTTAATTTTTTTACAAATGAAATTTAATTAAATTAAGATGAATACAGTGTTTTAAACAAGGCAGGTCATCTTAAAATAAAATAGTGGAATAAAGTGATAAAACCAATGTAAAAATCATAAACATTTTATAAATAATTTTTGTCATGTAATTTAATATTTTTGTTCATTTAAAATCACCCAAATCAAAATAATTTTATCTTAATTAACAAATAATCATCAGAAGTTTAACTAATTTTTACTTTATAATACTAGGTTTAAAAATTCTTAACTATATTTTTAATCACATATGCTTATATATAAAATAGACAGGATATATATTTACATGTTCACAATATTATATTGTAATTGCTCCTATGGATGTGGTTTTTCGATAGAATTAATATGTACTTTTAAAATGTTTCAATTTCAATGATGCATATGATTGATTTTTCTTAGACAAAGCATACATATATTGATAGGTAATAATATGAAAATCTTCTAAAGGCATTACAAGAACACGAAAATGTAATTAAATACTCACTAATTAGTAATGTTTTATGTAAGCGGAACACATTTAACTGAAAATTGCTTTTATATAATACTCAAACGAGACTAAAAACTTTTAACCAGCGGAGTAAGTCTTCAAATTGATAATCTGAACTATATAAGAGGAGAAACTTCAGGCACTCAAATATTTGAAATGCTACAAAATATTTATATAAACTATTATTTCACAATTTCTGTTTGTAGAGTGCTATACAGTAATCAGTATAAATGACATCTCAGTCTTTCTATAGCTTTGACCACATTTACCTCCTAATTTTAATTATTAATATGTTGGAGCAGTGCATACAACTAGATTCTGATCTTCCTTTTTAATGAGTAAAAATATGTCCTTTGAGACAGCATTAAAGAAAGAGCACCTTGTATAAATTCAATGCCAGAAGACAAGATATTCTTGATTCTGAAGTCTTGTTCTTTTATACAGCAATGTAATTAATAAGAAGAAAAGCAGGACATAGATGTGGAGCCTATTTTAATAAAAAATTGTCTATAGATTTTGATGATAAAATTTAAAAATCTACTATATTTAGTTAGTTTCAAAAAACTAGGTTGTGGGAACATAGTTGGTCAACAAAACACCCCTACCAAGTGCTGACAAGAAAAAAAGTTAGGTACCACCTTTCTTCTCTGCAGATGGCCTGAGATGGGTTAATTTGAAAGAATGCTTCAAAAGCTGAGGCGACCCCTGAGAACAGCATAATCCACTGCTGTCTCCCATATTCAGTTTCTCAGTTTGTGCTCTTTAAATTTTGCTGGGAGGGAAGCCAGCCCTTTAAACCGATCTTCAGCATGATGGCAGAGCCAAGGAGTGTGGACAGGTGGCACGGTGTCTGACTTTGTTCCAGCAGCCACTTGGGATTTCTCTGGATCTTCTCTGCCCTAGGGATAGCACCACTATTGAAAACATATCTTTGTGACATTCTCTATGCCAGGAACTCCCAAAACATTTTCCTTGAAACAGATGAAATGAATAAAAATAAACCAAGAGGTGTGCTGTTTGTTTCTGTTTCCTCCTTTCTGCAGCCCTTCTTGATCATCTAATATTTTTAAATACATTGTCGATCACCAAAAGGAGCAAAGGGGTATATTGATTTGTAGCAGATGTATTAATAGCCCAGCCCCTATTCCTTACCTGTAGCTGCTGGGAAGAAAACCATTCTTAACACTCTACAAGTTCTCATCTCCAGAATTTGCAGCTGTTTCTAGCTGAGGACTTTCTCTAGCAGCACGGGAGCTTGATACTGGGCATGAAGTGGGAAGAAAAGGTGAGGGTAACTAAGAAGAATCTCCCTGGATTCAGTGATGTAATTCTGAGGCATGTTCCACATAGCTTCCCATAGAATTAAGCCCAGATATCTAACACAGGAACTTGCCTCTTAACACGTGTGGTACTGGCTTTTCTATCTTTCCTGTTTTATTTTGTTCTCTCTTCCTTGTCTCACTTTCACTGTGTCCTCACTCCTGCTTTAAGAATACCCAAAGAAATACATTCATTTAATTTTTTATAGTCTCAGAACACAGTTGATAGTGTAACTTGTGATCTATGATAATCAGCTTGGATGCTATACTGACAGGAAAATGGTGAACTCACAATGTCTAAGTAAGATAAAATTAAAAAGTATATTGATTCATGTCCAAAGATTTAAAAAACCTAAGCGGCAGTGTCACAATTTCTTCTTTTTAGTTTACATGGTTTCTTAAACGCCTACAATTATTCTAAAGGAAGTCTTGAATCTAGGGAAAATTGAGACATATGGAATAAATTACTAACCCATTTCTCCTTGAAATCCATTGGATGCTTGATGATTTTTCACATATATTTCTGAATTGAAAAGCTAGTTGCAATTATTTTTATAAGCATATCCTTATGTAATATTTTGTTTTTAACAGTGAATTGAAGGTTTAAAGATTAAATTATTCTTTCCAGAGAATAAAAAGCAATTATTTCACAAGGAGAACATGTGTACGTTGATACGACATTTTAAAGTCTAGATTTTAAAATACGTCCCATATACTTTTGTGTCAATTAGAATATGTTTATATCAGTCTGTCTACAGTTTTACACCTGTCAAAATGTACTTGAACAACAACAACTACCTTGAACAATTTTGAAATTTATGTTTCCTCTGAAACTGATTAAAAGAATTATGGTAGAGTGAAATTCTGATTGACATAATTTGGGAGAGAAATTATTCCTTGGACATCAACCTCTGCCAAGATAGTTTATAATGACGTTGAGGCTTTTTGATTTACAGTTTGTTATATAAAAAATACTAAGACGATGGCAGACAATACACAGACTTTAATTAAAATTGTACTACAATGAAATGTCTAAATAAATTTGAAGGGTACATGGTACATCTAATTGTATGTTTATATATTTTATTTGTGCATTTTTTTCCTACTGTTTCTTTTGCTTTAGTTTGTAAAACTTTCTTATTTTTAAGATAATGTAGCATATACTAAATAAGGAAAAATCAGGAAATAGAAAATGAAGAAGAAAACATTAGCTATTGTCAACCAAATAAAAATTGTGAAATCTCTAAGCACATGAACTATGTAATATTTGTACAGCATAGTACAATGTTTATGCTTCACAGGGTGAGGTAGAGACTGCAAAACCTTGAACTTGGGACAAATAATAATGTAAGGAAATTTTCACAACATATTAATATTATAGAAAATGTTGAACTCAACAGTTAAGATACAAGTAGTGAAAAATGATAGTATTTAAGGAGATCTAGAAAATTTAATCTATACCTGTAATGTGTGAGAAGTATTAGAATAATGCTTGTATTTCTGGATTGGCATCGATTTCTATTGAGACTGGAAACATAATAGAAGTGAGGGAAAAAGAATTTAAATTGTGGATACTTGAATTTTATACCTAGGAGTTCGAGAAATACATTTTGTTACTGTCAAAGCAGTTGGCACAAGAGTGTACAAAATTCCCTAATTATGTCTATGTGGAGAAGACATAGACAAACAGAGAATAGCAAAACAGAAATAGCAAAAATCACAAATAAATTTTACCTGTATTTTTAAGTAAAAGCCAATTAGAGAAGGAAAACATGAAATTTGTGTTTTATCAACATTTTTCTCTTTCTCATAATATAGTTGAATATATTACTGGAAAAAATTTGAAGCACTGGTATGTTCACAAATAAAAGTAAAATATAAGATCAAAACCATGGGAATGCAGGTAGCAGACAAAATATAACTAAACACCAAAACTGATTTTGCCCTACGCACATGTAGCAAAATGAATGAGTGCAGATTCCTACTGTCATACATCACATAGGACAGTAAAGAAATACATAGTTTTCCCCAAGATAGGGCATCACACAGGAGCTCCTCCCTAAAGCTAGGACCAAAATTTCTATCCTCAGTATAAAGAAGAATCAGAGGTAAATTAGTCCCATTTCACATTCCCTGGAAATGGCAAATAAAAATGACTTGAGATTGGACAGATTTAAAGAAACTCAATCGTTAATGATTTACAGCAACTAATTTAAAAATTGTTTAAATGTGCAGTCCAAATATACGTCCAAACACCTTTAGGCCAAGAATTAACATAATGTGGTCCCAGAATGGTGGTGCCTTTAGTAGAATCACAAAAAATTAAATTCTCTTTGGCAAATTTTCTACTTACTAATCCGCAAAAGTGCACAAAAATAATTTTCAGAGAAAAATAAATATTTGTCATTCAAAGGCATCTAAGTATGCAAGGAAATGATATTCCACCATTTGAAAGGAAAGCAGAAAAAGAGTACAAACAGATCCACAAAGGTTCATTAGTAGAAATATCACTGTTAGATTATAAAGCACATTTGCTTTCAAAAAATTTTTTAAAAAATGAATATATTGTTAGGAGACTAAAAATTTCATGTAGCAAATTTGAAAAGTAGTTTGTATAAAATATACTTATTTTAAATTAAAAACTCAAAAATGAACTCATCAGATTAGACATGGCCATGGTGAGAGTTCATAAATATTTCAGAATTCATTACAGAAAATTTTAAAAAATGTAAAATGTGGAGAGAATGATGAAGAGACATGGAAGATACAGTAAGAAACTGTAGCATGTGTTTAGGGAGTGTTCTCATAGAACAAGGGAACTGGGAATGGACAATATGTGATGGTATTTTGGCTGAAAGTTCCCTAGACTTGTAAGACACTAATCTGCATATTCAAGAATTCCATGCATGCTAAGCAAGCTACAATGGAGATAAACCTACACCTATGTATCTCCCAGAGAAATAGTAAACAACCAGGAAGGGAAAAAAATTTCAATTAGCACTAGAAAAATGAAATTACTTTTAATCATATTGAAATCTGAAAGCATGAAAGGTAAAATAAATAATATTATTTGTTAAGAATAATAATACCATTCTGAATTTCCAAACAAAGAAAAATATTCATCAACCTATGGCTAAATAACATATTTAGAGACAAAAAACAAAATGCCACCAGCAGAATTCCACTAAAGAAACTAAAGAGAAACTCTGAAAATATGCTTCAGAAAAGTTGAAGTTCTGAAATCAAAGAATGAACACAGAGTAAAATATATTGTAAACATACATATAGAACAAATAAGAAACTGGGTGTTGAAACAAAAAGATATTTAAAATTAGATAAGCACTGCAATATGTATGATAAAAAGAAAATTATTAGGGCTGAAGTATTCAAAGAACCCTTAATTGTCTGACAAGAGCAGAAAAGTGAGTATGACTTTGCAACTCTTTTTCTTTTTCGAATGGAATGGAAAGGAATGGAATAGAATGGAATGCAATGGAATTGAATGGAATTGAATCGAATGGAATTGAATGGAGAGGAATGGAATGGAATCGGAGATGAGATTGTGCCATTGTGCTACAGGATGGGTGACAGAGTGAGACACTCTTGAAAGAAAGGAATGGAATGGAAAGCAGTGCAATAGAATGGAATGGAATACAATGGAGTGTAGTGGAGTGGAGAGGAGAGGAGTGGAATGCAGTGGAATGGAATCGGATGCAATGGAATGTAGTGGAATGGAATGGAATGGAATCATCATCGAATGGAGTAGAAAGGAATTATCATCGAATGGAATCAAATGGAATCATCATCAAATGGAATCAAATGGAGTCATCATTGAATGGAATCGAAAGGCATCATCATCCAATGGACTTGAATGGAATCGAAAGGCATCATCATCCAATGGACTTGAATGGAATCATCATCGAATGGAATCAAATGGAATCTTCATAAAATGGAATCGAATGGAGTCATCATTGAATGGAATCAAAAAGCGTCATCATCGAATGGACATGAATGGAATCATCATCGAATGGACTCGAAAGGAATCATCATCAAATGAAATCAAATGGAATCATCATTGAATGGAATCAAATGGAATCATCATTGAATGTAATCAAATGGAATCATCATCGAATGGAATCAAATGGAATCATCATTGAATGGAATCGCATGGAATCATCATCAAATGGAATCGAATGGATTCATCATTGAATGGAATCAAATGGAGTCATCAATAAATGTAATCAAATGGAATCATCTAATGGAATCTAAAGGAATCATCATCAAATGGAACTGAATGAAATCATCATTAAATGGAACCAAACGGAGTAATCATCAAATGGAATCGAATGGACTCATAATCGAATGGAATCGAATGGAAACATCATCGAATTGAATCGAATGGAATCATCATTGAATGGAATCAAATGGAATCATCGAATTGAATCGAATGGAAAGATCATCGAATGGAATCGAAGGGAATCATCAAATGGGATCAAATGGAATCATTGAAGGGAATCAAATGGAATCATCGAATGGATTCGGATGGAATCATCAGTGAATGGAATTGAATGGAATCATGGAATGGACTCGAATGGACTCATCATTAAATGGAATCCAAAGGAATCATCGAATGAACATGAATGGAATGATCATTGAATTGAATCGAACGGAATCATCGAATGGCATCGAATGGAATCATCATCGAATGGAATGTAATGGAATCATCGAATGGACTCGAATGGAATAATCGAATGGGCTTGAGTGGAATCATCATCGAATCGAATTGAACGGAATCATCATCAAATGGAATCGAATGGAATCATCATTAAATGGAATCGAATGGAATCACCATCGAATGGAATCACCAAATTGAATCAAATGGAATGATCATCTAAGGCAATCAAAGGGAAACATCAAATGGGATTGAACAGAGTCATCGAATGGAATCGAGAGGAATCATCAAATGGATTCAAATAGAATCATCATCGAATGGAACCGAAAGGAGTCACCATCAAATGGAATCCCATGGAATCATCGAATAGACTCGAATGGAAATATCATTGAATGGACCCGAATGTAATCATCATTGAAAGGACTCGAATGGAATCATCATAGAATGGGCTCAAAAGGAATCATCATCAAATGCAATCCAATGATATCATTGAATGGACTCCAATGGAATCATCATCAACTGGAATTGAATGGAATCATCGAACGGACTCAAATGGAATCATCAGAGAATGGAATCGAATGGAATTATTGAATGGACTCGATGGAATCAACTTTGAATGGAATCGAAGGGAATCATCAAATGGAATCGAATGCAATCATCATCGAATGGAATCATCTAATGGAATCAAATAGAATAACCATTGAATGGACTCGAATGGAATCACCATCGATTGGAATCAAATGGAATCATCGAATAGAATAGAAAGGAATCATCATCAAATGTAATCAACTGGAATCACTGAATGGAATCGAATGGAATCATCATCAAAAATAATCGAATAGAATAATCGAATGGAATCAAATACAATCAACATCGCATGGAATCGAATGGAATCATAGAATGACATCGAATGGAATCATCATCAAATGGAATCAAAGAGAATCATCATCAAATGGAATCGAAAGCAATCACTGAATGGACTTGAATAAAATCATCAAATGGATTTGAAGGGAATCCTCATCGAATGGAATAGAATGGAACCATCGAATGGACTCAAATGGAATCATCATTTAATGAAATCAAACGGAATCATCAAATGGACTCGAATGGAATCATCATCGAATGGAATCCAATGGGATCATCATCAAATGGAATCGAATGGAATCATCGAATGGACACGAATGGAATGAACAAATGGACTCAAATGGAAACATCAAATAGAATCGAATGGATTCATCGAAAGGAATCAAATGGAATTATCGAATGGACTCGAATGGAATCATCGAATGGACACGAATGGAATTATCATCAAATGGAATCATCAAATGGACTCGAATGGTATCATTGAATGGACTCGAATGGAATCATCGAATGGACTCAAATGGAATCATCATCAAATGGAATCAAATGGAATCATCAAATTGACTCAAATGGAATCAAACCGAATCGTCATTGAATGGAATCGAATGGAATCATTGAATGGAATTGAAGGCAATCATCATCGAATGGAATCGAATGGAATCATCATCGAATAGAATCAAATAGAATCGAATGGAATCATCGAATGGAATCAAATGGAATTATTGTTGATTGGAATGGAATGGAATCATTGAATGGAATTGAATGGGATTACCAATGAACAGAATCGAATGGAATCATCTTCTAATGGAATCGAAAGGAATCATCGAATGGACTCAAATGGAATCATCATCGAATGGAATCATGTGGAATCGTCGAATGAACTGGAAATGAATCATAATCAAATGGAATCAAAAGGAATCATCATTGAAAGGAATCACATGGAATCATCATCGAATGGAATCATACGGAAACATCACAGAATAGAATTGAATGGAATCATCAATTGGACTCGAATGGAATCATCAAATGGACTCGAAGGGAAGTGTCAAATGGACTCGAACGGAATCATCATCGAATGAAATCAAATGGAATCATTGAAAGGACTCGAATTGAATCATCAAATGGACTCGAAGGGAATCATTATAGAATGGAATCGAATAGAGTCATCGGATGGAATCGAATGGAATCATCATTGAATGGAATTGATTGGAAACATCGAATGCACTCGAATGGAATCATCATCCAGTGGAATTGAATGGAATCATCGAATGGACAACAATGGAATCATCATCAAATGGAATCCATTGGAATCATTGAATGGAATCGAATGGAATTATCGAATGGAATCGAATGGAATCATCATTGAATTGAATCGAATGGAATCATCGAATGGACTTGAATGGAATCATCATCGAATGGAATCGAATGGAATTGTCGACTGGACACGAATGGAATAATCATCGAATGCAATCGAATGGAGTCATCATCGAATGGAATCGAATGGAATCATCATCTAATGGAATCGAATGGAATCATCGAATGAAATAGAATAGAATCATCATCGAATGGAATCAAATAGAATCATTGAATGAAATCGAATGGAATCATCATCTAATGGAATCAAATGGAATTATCATCGAATGCAATTGAATGGAATCATCATCGAATGGAATCAAATGGAAACATCAACAAATGGAATCCAATGGAATCATCATCGAATAGAAAAAAGTGGAATATCAAAAGGACTCGAATGGAATCATCGAATGGACTCGAATGGAATCATCACCGAATGGAATCGAATGAAATCATCGAAAGGAATCAAATGGAATCATCATCGAGTGAAATCAAATGGAATCATCGAATGGACTTGAATGGAAACATCATCAGATGGAATCGAAAGGAATCATGGAATGCACTCAAATGGAATCATCAATTATACTCATATGGAATCAACATCGAGTGGAATCAAAAGAAATCTTTGAATGGAATTGAATGTAATCATCGAATGGACTCAAACGGAATCATCGTTGAATGGAATCATCATCTAAAGGAATCAAATGGAATCATCAATGAATGGAATCGAATGGAGTCATCAAATGGAATCCGTTGGAATCATCAATGAATGGAACCGAGTGCAGTCATCATCGAATGGAATCGAATGGAATCATCAAATGGACTCAAATGGAATCATCGTATGGACACGAATGCAATCATCCTCGAATGTTATCTAATGGAAGCAGTAAATGGAATCCAATGGAATAATCATCGAATTGACCTGAAAGGAATCATCATTGAATGTAATCGCATGGAATCATCATCAACTGGAATTGAATTGAATCATCGAATGGACTCAAATGGAATCATCGGAGAAAGGAATCGAATGGAATTATTGAATGGACTCGAATGGAATCAACTTTGAATGGAATAGAAGGGAATCATCAAATGGAATCGAATGCAATCATCATGGAATGGAATCGAATGGAATCATCTTTGACTGGAATTGAATGAAATCATCGAGTGGACTCGAATGGAATCATCAGAGAATGGAATTGAATGGAATTATGGAATGGACTCGAATGGAATCAACTTTGAAGGGAATCGAAAGGAATTATCGAATGGATTCGATTGCAATCACTGAATGGATTCAAATGCAACCATCAACGAATGGAATTGCATTTAATCATCATCAAATGGAATCGAATGGAATCATCATCAAATGGGATCTAATGGAATCATCGAATGGAATTGAATGGAATCATCTTCGAATGAATTGAATGGAATCATCGAATGGTCGTGAATGGAATCATCATCAAATGGAATTGAATGGAATTATCAAATGGAATCGAATAGAATCATTGAATGGACCCGAATGGAATCATCATTGAATGGAATAGAATGGAATCAGCATCAAATGGAATCCAATGGAATCATCAAATAGATCCGAATGGAATCATCATTGAATGGAATAGAATGGAATCATCATGGAATGGAATTAAATGGAATCATCGAATGGACAGGAATAGAATCATCATCGAATGCAATCAAATGGAATCATCTATTGTACACGAATGGAATCATCATCAAATGGAATAGAATGGAATCATCAAATGGAATCAAATGGAATAATCATCGTATAGAATCGAGTGGAATCATCGAATGGACTCATATATAACCATTGGAAAATGGAATCAAATGGAATCATCGAATGGAATCAAATGGAATAATCATCAAATGGAATCAAATGTAATCATCTAATGGACACGAATGGAATCATCATAGAATGGAATCAAAAGGAATCATTGAATGGACTCGAATGGAATCATCATTGAATAAAATCGAAAACAATCAAATGCATTTGAATGGAATCACCAAATGGACTGAAATGGAATAATCATCGAATGAAATCAAATGGAATCATCGAATGGACTCAAAAGGAATCGTCATCGAATGGAATAGAATGGAATCATCGAGTGGAATGGAATGGAATCATCATCGAATGTATTTGAATGGAACCATCGAATGACTCGAATGGAATCATCATCGAATAGAATTGAATGGAATCATCGAATGGACTCAAATGGAATCATCATCAAATGGAATCTAATGGAATCATCGAATAGAATTGATTGTAGTCATCATCGAATGAAATCCTATTGAATTATCGAATGGACACGAATGGAACCATCATTGAATGGAATCAAGTGGAATCATCGAATAGACTTGATTGGAATCATCATCGAATGGAATGGAATGGAATCATCAAATGGATTTGAATGGAATGATCTAACGGACATGAATGGAATCATCATCGAATGGAATCGAATGGAAACATCGAATGGAAGTGAATGGACTCCTTATTGACAGGAATCAAAGGGAATCATCATTAATGGAATCGAATGGAATCATCGAATTGAATTGAACAGAATTAATCATTGAATAGAATCGAATGGAATCGTCATTGAATGTAATCTAAAGAAATCATCATCGAATGGAATCTAATGGAGTCATCATCTAATGAAATCGAATGGTATCAGCAAGGAATGGAATCGAATGGAGAAATCAAATGGAATCCATTGGAATCGTCATCGAATGAAACCGAATTCAGTCATCATATAATGGAATTGAATGGAATCAACGAAGGGACTCGAATGGAATCATCATTGAATAGAATCGAACAGAATCGTCGAATGCACTCAAATGAAATCATTGAATGGACTCGCATGGAAACATCATCGAATGGAATCGAATGGAATCATCAAATGGACTCTTAAGGAATCATCATCGAATGGAATTGAATGGAATCAAATGGAATCATCGAATGGACTCTAATGGAATCATATAATTGACTTGAATGGAAACATCATCAAATGGAATCAAATGGAATCATCGAATGAACTCTAATGGAATCATCATCATATGGAATTGAACGGAATTGAATGGAATCATCGAATGGACTCTAATGGAATCATCATTGAATGGAATCGAATGGAATCATCCAATAGACTCGAATGGAATCATTGAATGGACTAGAATGGTATCATCATCGAATGGAATCGAGTGGAATCCTCAAATGGAATCCAATGGAATCATCAAATGGAATCGAATGGAATCATCATCAAATGGAATCGAATGGAATCATCTCATGGAATCAAACGCAATCATCATCGAATGGAATCCAATGGAATCATCATCGAGTAGAATCAAACATAATCATCAAATAGAAATGAATGGAATCATCGTCAACTTTAATCGAGTGGAATCCTCGAGTGGAATCGAGTGGAATCATTGTTGAATGGAATGGAATGGAATCAATGAATGGAAATGAATGGAATCACCAATAAATGGAATCGAATGGAATCATCATCGAATGGAATTGAAAGGAATAATCGAATGGACTCAAATGGAATCATCATTGAATGGAATCACAAGGAATCATCATCAAATGGAATCATACGGAATCATCATCGAATGGAATTGAATGGAATGAAAAATTGGACTCGAATGGAATCATCAAATGGACTCGAATGGAAGTGTCGAATGGACTCTAATTTAATCATCACAGAAAGGAAGTGATGGAATCATCGAATGCAATCGAATGGAATCATCATCGAACAAAATCGAATGGAATCATCTAATGGACAAAAATGGAATCATCATCAAATAGAATTGAATGGAATCATCGAATGGACTTGAATGGAATCATCATCAAATAGAATCAAATGGAATCATCAAATAGAATCGAATGTAATCTTAATCGAAAGAAATTGCATTGAATCTTCGAATGGACTTGAACGGAGTCATCATCTAATGGAATTGAATGGAATCAAATGGACTCGAATGGAATCATCATCGAATGGAATGGAATCGAATCATCAAACGAAATCAATGGAATCATCATCAAATGAAATAAAATGTAATAATCGAATGGCTCCGAATGGAATCATCATCGAATGGAAACTAATGGAATCATCTAACGGACTCGAATGGAACCATCATCAAATGGAATCCAATGGAAACATCGAATGAACACAAATGGAATCATCACCAAAAGGAATCAAATGTAATCATCATCAAAAGGAATTGAATAGAATCATCATCGAATGGAATTGAATGGAATCATCGAATGGAAGAGAATGGAATCATCATCAAATGGAATCAAATAGAATCATCTATTGAAATCAAATGGAATCGTCATTGAATGGAATCAAATGGCATCATCATCGAATGGAATCGAAGGTAATCATCATCGAATCGAATCTAATGGAATCATCATTGAAAGGAATCGAATGGATTCATCATCAAATGTAACCGAACAGAGTCATCATCGAATGGAATCGAATGGAATCATCATCAAATGGAATCAAATGGAATCATCATCGAATGGAATCGGATGAAATCATCATCAAATGGAATCGAGTGAAATCATCATCTAAAGGAACGAATTGTAATCATCAAATTTAATCTAATGGAATCACCATTAAATGGACTCAAATGGAATCATCTTCGAATAGAATAGAAAGGAATCATTGAATGGGCTCAAATGGAATCATCATCAAATGCAAACGAATGGAATCATCGAATGGAATCCAATGGAATCATCATCAAATCTATTCAAATGGAATCATTGAATGGAATCGAATGGAACCATCATTGAAGGGACTCGAATGGAATCATCATCAAATGGAATGGAATTGAATGATCGAATGGACTCCAATGGAATCATCATCGAATGGTTTCAAATGGAATCATTGAATGGAATCGAATAGAATCATCATTGAATGGAATTGAAAGGAATCATCGAATTGCATCGAATAGAATCATCATCAAATAGAATCAAATGGAATCATGAAATGGACAAGAATGAATCATTATCGAATGGAGTCGAATGGAGTCATCAAATGGAATCATGATCGAATGGAGAAAATGGAATCATCATCGAATGGAATCGAATGAAATCATCATCAAATTGAATCTAATGGAAACATCATCGAAAGTAATCTAGTGGCATTATCATCTAATGGAATCTAATGGAATCATCAATGAATGGAATCGAATGGAGTCATCAAATGGAATCCGCTGGAATCATCATTGAATGGAACTGAATGCAGTCATCATCGAATGGAATCGAACGCAATCATCGAATGGACTCGAATGGAATTATCATCTAATGAAATAGAATGTAATCATCGAATGGAATCGAATGGAATCATCATTGATTGGAATCTAATGTAATCGTCTTCGAATGGAATCGAATGGAATCATCATCAAATTTTATCTAATATAATCATCATCTAATGGAATCGAATTGGAATCATCAACCAATTTATTCAAATGGAATGATCGAATGGTCTCGAATGGAATCATTGAATGGAAACGAATGGAATCATCAATTGGACTCAAATGGAATTATCGAATGGGCTTGAATGGAATCATTGAATGAACTTGAATGGAATCATTATCGAATGGAATGGAATGGAATCATCAAATGGAATCGAATGGCATCACTGAATGGAATTGATCAGCATCATCATCTCATGGTATCAAATGGAATCATAGAATGAAATCGAATGGAATCATCATCGAATGGAGTCAAATGGAATCATCATCGAATGGAATCTAATGGAATCATCAACGAAGGGAATGGAATAGAATCATCATCGAATGGAATCGAATGGAATTATCAACAAATGGAATCGAATGGAATCATCGAATGGAATACAATGGAATCATCAACAAATGACATCGAATGGAATCATTGAATGAACTCGAATGGAATCATCATCGAATGGACTCGATTGGAATCACCATTGAATGAAATCGAATGGTGTCATCGAATGTACTTAAATGGAATCATCAAATGGACTCGAATGGAATCATCGAATGGAATCGAATGGAATCATCATCGAATGGAATCTTATGGAATCATTGAATGGACTCGAATGGAATCATCATCCAATGAAATCAAAGGTAATCATTGAATGAAGTCGAATGGAATCATCATCGAATGGAATCAAATGGAATCTTCGAATGGAATCATCTATGAATGGAATCGAATGGAATCATCGAATGGCATCTAATGGAATCATCATCAAATGAAATCAAATGTAATCATCTAATGTACTTGAATGTAATCATCATCGAATGCAATCAGATGGAATCATCAAATGTACAAGAATGGAATCATCATTGAATGGAATCGAATTGTATCATCGTTGAATGGAATCGAATGGAATCATCAAATGGAATCGAATGTAATCATCGAATGGCATCGAATGGAATCATCCAATGGAATAGAATGGAATCATCATCGAATGGAAACGAGTAGAATCATCGAATGAAATTGAATGGAATCATCATCTAGTGGGGTCGAATGGAATCATCATCGATTGGAATCTAATGGAATCATCAATGAATGGAATTGAATGGAACCATCATCAAATGTAATCGAACGGAATCATCAATGAATGGAATCAATTGGAATTATTGAATGGAATCCAATGGAATCATAATCAAATGTAACCGAATGGAATCATCATCAAATGGAATCAAATGGAATCATCATCAAATGGAATCAAATGGAATGATCGAATGAACACGAACGAAATCATCATTGAATGGAATCGAATGGAATCATCGAATGTCATCGAATGGAATCATCATTGAATGAAATCAAATGGAATCATCGAATGGACTCGAATGCAATCATCATCGAATGGAATCAAATGCAATCATTGAATGGACTCGAATGGAATCATCATCGAATGGAATTGAATGGAATCATCGGATGGCATTGACTGAAATCATCATCAAATGGAATCATCGAATGGAATCGAATGGAATCATCATCAAATGAAATTGAATGGAATCATGGAATGGCATCGAATGGAATCATCATCCAATGGAATCAAATGGATTGATCTAACAGACACGTATGGAATCATCATTGAATGGAATTGAGTGGAATCATCGAATGGACATGAATGGAATCATCATTGAATGGAATCAAAAGGAATCATCATCAAATGGATTCAAATAGAATCATAATATAATGGAATTGAATGGAATCATCGAATGGAATAGAATGGAATCATCATCAAACAGAATTAAATAGAATCACCGAAAAAAATTGAATGGAATCATCATCGAATGGAAACGAATGGAATCATCATCGAATGGAATCGAATGGAATAATCATTGAATGGAATCAAATAGAATCTTCAACAAGTGGAATTGCATGGAATCCTCGAATGGAATCTAATGGAATCATTAGCACATGGAAACGAATGGAATCATCATGGAGTGGAATCGAATGGAATCAACATAGAATGGAATCCAAAGGGATCACAGAATTGAATGGAATGATCATCGAATGGAATCGAAGGGAATCATCGAATGGGATGGAACAGAGTCATTGAACGGAATTGAATGGAATCATCGAAAGGTTTCGAATTGAATCATCATCGCATGGAATAGAAAGGAATCATTGAATGGACTCGAATGGAATCATCATCGAATGGAATCGAATGGAAACATCGAATGGACATGAATGAAATCATCATTGAGTGGAATCGAATGGTATCATCGAATGGACTCGAATGGAAACATCATTCTATGGAATCAGATGGAACCATTGATTGGCATCGAATTGAATCATCAGTGAATGGAATCTAAGGGATTAATCGAATGGAACCAAATGGAATTACAGAATGGACTCGAGTGGAATCATTATCGAATGGAATCGAATGGAATCATCGAATGGACTCGAATGGAATCATCATCAAATGCAATCTAATGGAATCATCGAATGGACCTGAATGGAATCATCATCAAATGGAATCGAAAGGAATCATTGAAGGGAATCGAATGGAATCATCATCGAATGGAATGGAATGGAATCATCGAATGGACTCAAATGGAATAATCACCGAATGGAATCGAATGGAATCTTCGAATGGACTCAATTGAAATCATCATTGAATGCAGTCGAATGGAATCATCATTGAAGGGAATTGAATGGAATCATCATCAAAAGGAATGGAATGGAATCATCCAATGGAGTAGAATTGAATCATCATTGATTGGAATCGAATGGAATCATCGAATGAAATCGAATGGAATCATCATCCAATGGAATCGAATGGAATCATCATTGAATGGAATCAAATGGAATCATCATCGAATGGAATCGAATGGAATCATTGAGTGGACTCGAATGGAATCATCATCAAATGAAATCGAATGTAATCATCGAATGGCATCAAATAGAATCATCAATGAATGGAATCTAAGGGAAAAATTGAATGGAATTGAAAGGAATCATCAAATAGACTCGAATGGAATCATCATCGAATGGCATCAAATGGAATCTTCGAATGCACTCGAATGGAATCATCATTGAATGCAATTGAATGGAATCATCATCGAATGGAATCTAATGGAATCATCATCGAATGGAATTGATTAGAATCATCCAATGTAATAGAAATGAATCATCATCGAATGGAATTGAATAGAATCATTGAATGAAATTGAATGGAATCGAATGGAATCATCAACGAATGCAATCGAATGGAGAAATCGAATGGAGTCCAATTTAATCATCATCGAATTGAACCCAATGGAATCATCAAATGGACTCGAATGGAATCATCATCGAATGGAATAGAATGGAATCATTGAATGCAATTCAATGAAATCATCATCGAATGAAATCAAATGGAATCATTGAATGGACACGAATGGAATCATCATCAAATGGAATCGAATGGAATCTTCGAATTGACTCGAATGGAATCATCATCGAATGGAATTGAAAGGAATCATCAAATGGACTTCAATGGAATCATTGAATGGACTTGAATGGAATCATCATCGGACGGAATCGAACGGAATCATTGAATGGACACGAATGGAATCATCATCGAATGGAATCAAGTGGAATCATCGAATGGAATCGAATGGAATTGTCATCAAATGGAATGGAATGGAATCATCATCATCGAAGGGAATCTAATGGCATCATCATCTAATGGAATCTAATGGAATCATCAATGAAATGAATCAAATGGAGAAATCGAATGGAATCCGTTGGAATCATCATCGAATGGAACCGAATGCAGTCGTCATCGAATGGAATCTGATGGAATCATCATCGATTGGAATCGAATGAATCATCATCGAATGGAATCAAAAGGAATCATCATGGAATAAAATCGAATGGAATCATTGAATGGAATGGAATGGAATCATCAACAAAAGGAGTCAAAGGGAATCATAGAATGGAATTGAGCAGAATCATCGAATGGAATCGAATGAAATCATCATTGAATGGACTCGAATTGAATTATCATCGAATGGAATTGAATGGAATCATCAAATGGACTTGAATGGAATAATTGAATGGACTCCAGTGGAATCATCAAATGGAATCGAATGGAATCAACGAATGGACTCACATGGAATCATCATCAAATGGAATCAGATGGAATCAATGAAGGGACTCGAATGGAATCTTCGAATGGACTCAAGTGGAATCGTCATCAAATGGAATCGAATGTAATCGTAGAATGGACTCGAATGGAATAATCATTGAATGGAATCAAATGGAATCACTGAATGGAGTCGAATGGAATCATCATCGAATGGAATCAAAGGGAATCATTGAATGCACTCCAACGGAATCATCATCGAATGGAATCAAATGGAATCATTGAATGGACTAGAAAGGAATCATCATCAAATGAAATTGAGTGGAATCACCGAATGGACAAGAATGGAATCATCATCGAATTCACTCGAATGGAATCATCGAATTCACTCGAATGGAATCATCATGGAACGGAATTGAAAGCAATAATTGAATGGATTCTAATGGAATTCTTGAATGGGCTCAAATGGAATCATTGAATGGACCCGAATGGAATCATCATCGAACGGACTCTAACAGAATGATCGAATGGTCTCTAATGGAATCATCATTGAATGGAAAAGAATGGAATCATCAAATGGACATGAATGGAAACATCATCGAATTGAATCATATGGAATCATCAAAAGGAATCGAATGGAATCATCATCAAATTGAATCGAATGGAATCATCAAATGAAATCGAATGGAATCACCAACGAATTGAATCGAATGGCATCATGGAATGGAATTGAAAGGAGTCATCTGCAAGTTAAATCTAAAGGAATCACCGAATGGACTCCAATAGAATAATCATCGAATGGAATCCAGTGGAATCATTGAATGTACTTGAATGGAATAATCGAATGGACCCGAATGGAATCATCATCAAATGGAATCGAATGGAATCATCAAATGGAATCGAATGGAATCACCATCGAATGGAATCAAAAGGAATCATTGAATGGACTCGAGTGGAATCATCATCAAAAGGAATAGAATGGAATCATCATCGAATTGAATCTAATGGAATCACCATGGAATGGAATCGAATGGAATCATCGAATGGACTCGAATGGAATCGTCCTCGAATGGAATCAAATGGAATAATCAAATGGACTTGAATGGAATCATCGTCGTATGAAACCAAATGGTATCATTGAATGCAACAGAATGGAATCACTGAAAGGATTCGAATGGAATCATCATCGAATGGAATTGAATGGAATCATTGAAGGCACTCGAAAGGAATCATTGAATGGACTCGAAAGGAATCATCATCAAGTGGAATCGAATGGAATCATCGAACGGACTCAAAAGGAATCTTTGAATGGACTCGAATGAAATCATCATTGAATGGAAACTAATGGAATCATCGAATGGACTCGAATGGAGTCCTCATTGATTGTAATCACAGGGAATCACTGAATGGACTCGAATGGAAACATCGAATGGCCTCAAATTGAATCATCATTAAATGGAATCGAATGGAATTATCGAATGGACTCAAATGGAATCATCGAATGGACTCGAAAGCAATCATCATCGAGTGGAAACGAATGAAATCATCAAATGGACTTAAATGCAATCACCGAATGGCCTCGAATGAAATTATCATCGAATAGAATCGAATGGAATCATCACATCGACTCGAATGGAATCATCTTCGAATGGAATGGAATGGAATCATTTAATGGAATCGCATGGAATTGTCATCAAGTGGAATTGAAAGGAATAATTGAATGGACTCGAAGGGAATCATCGAATGGACTCAAATAGAATCATCATCGAGTGGAATCGAATAGAATCATCGAATGGACTCGAATGGAATCATCATCGAATGGAATCAAATGAAATTCTCATCAGATGGAATAGAATGGAATCATCACTGAATGGAATCGAATGGAATCATTGAAGGGAAGGAGATGGAATCATCATCGAATGGAATCAAATAGAAGCATCGAATGAAATCGAAAGGAATCATCATCGAACGGACTCGAATGGAATCATCATCAAATGGAGTAGAATGGAATCATCATCTAATGGAATCCAAAAGAATCATCATCGAATGGAATCGAATGGAAACATCATCGAATTGAATCAAATGGAATCATCATGGAATTGAATCAAATGGCTCATCATCAAATGGAATCGAATGGAATCATTGAATGGAATTGAATGGAATCATCATTGAATGGAATCTTCGAATGGAATCGAATGGAATCATCATCGAATGAAACCGAATGGAATCATCAAATGCAACAGAATGGAATCACTGAATGGATTCGAATGGAATCATCATCGAATGGAATTGAATGGAATCATTGAAGGCACTCGAAAGGAATCATCGAATGGACTCGAAAGGAATCATCATCAAGTGGAATCGAATGGAATCATTGAACAGACTCGAAAGGAACCTTTGAATGGACTCGAATGGAATCATCATCGAATGGAACCTAATGGAATCATCGAATGGACTCGAATGGAGTCCTCATCGGTTGTAATCACAGGGAATCACTGAATGGACTCGAATGGAAACGTCGAATGGCCTCAAATTGAATCATCATTAAATGGAATCGAATGGAATTATCAAATGGACTCGAATGGAATCATCGAATGGACTCGAATGCAATCATCGAATGGCCTTGAATGAAATTATCATCTAATAGAATCGAATGGAATCATCACATGGACTCGAATGGAATCATCATCGAATGGAATGGAATGGAATCATCTAATGGAATTGAATGGAACAATCATCAAGTGGAATTGAAAGGAATAATTGAATGGACTCGAATGGAATCATCCAATGGACTCAAATAGAATCATCATCGAGTGGAATCGAATAGAATCATCGAATGGACTCAAATGGAATCATCATCGAATGGAATCAAATGAAATCCTCATCAGATGGAATAGAATGGAATCATCACTGAATGGAATCATTGAAGGGAATGAGACGGAATCATCATCAAATGGAATCAAATGAAATCCTCATCAGATGGAATAGAATGGAATCATCACTGAATGGAATCATTGAAGGGAATGAGATGGAATCATCATCAAATGGAATCAAATAGTAGCATTGAATGAAATCGAATGGAATCATCATCAAATGGATTCGAATGGAGTCATCGTCTAATGGAATCCAAAGGAATCATCATAGAATGGAATCAAATGGAAACATCATCGAATTGAATCAAATGGAATCATCATGGAATTGAATCGAATGACTCATCATCAAATGGAATCAAACGGAATCATCGAATGGAATCAAATGGAATCATCATCAAATGGAATCTTCGAATGGAATCGAATGGAACCATTGAATGAAATCGAATGGAATCATCATTGAATGGAGTCGAATGGAAATATCATCACATGGAATCTAATGTAATCATCAACGAAGGGAATCGAAAGGAATCATCATCGAATGGAATCGAATGGAATCATCAAAAGGAATCGAATCGAATCATCAAATGGACTCAAACGGAATCATTATAGAATGGAATCGAATAGATTCTTCGGATGGACTCGAATGGAATCATCATCGAATGGAATTGATTGGAATCATCGAATGCACTCAAATGGAATCATCATCGAACGGAATTAAATGGAATCATCGAATGGACTCGAATGGAATCATCATCAAATGGTATCCACTGGAATCATCAAATGGAATGGAATGGAATTATCGGATGGAATCAAATGGAATCATCTTTGAATGAAATCATATGGAATCATCGAATGGAACCGAATGCAATCATCATCGAATGGAATCGAATGGAATCTTCTAATGGACACGAATAGAATCATCATCAAATGGAATCGAATGGAATCATCTAATGTACTCGAATGGAATCATCATCCAATGGAATAGTATGGAATCATCGAATTGATTTGAATGTAGTCATCATCGTATGGAATCAAGTGGAATCATTGAATGGACTTGAAAGTAATCATCGCAGAATGGAATAGAATGGAATCATGGAATGAACTCGAATGGAAACCTCATGGGGTGGAATCGAATGGAATCATCTAATGGACCCGAATGGAATCATCATCAAATGGAATCGAATGGAATCATTGAATGCACTCGAATAGAATCGTCATCGAATATAACTGAAAGCAATCATCAAATGGATTTGAATAGAATCATCAAATGGCTCTAATGGAATCATCATCGAATGGAATCAAATGGAATCATCGAATGGACTCGAATGGAATTGTCATCCAATGTAATTGAATGTAATTGTCGAATGGATTCAAATGGAATCATCATCGAATGGAATCAAATGGAATCACTGAATGGACTCGAAAGGAATCATCATCGAATGAAATCAAAGGGAATCATTGAATGCACTCGAATGTAATCATCATTGAATAAAATCGAATAGAATCATTGAATGGACTCTGAAGGAATCATCATCGAATGAAATTGAGTGGAATCACCGAATGAACACGAATGGAATCATCATTGAATGAAATAGAATGGAATCATCGAATGAACTCTAATGGAATCATCATCGAATAGAATTGAAAGCAATCATCAATTGGATTCAAATGGAATTATCGAATGGACTCGAATGGAATCATCGAATGGACTCGAATGGAATCATCATTGAACAGACTCTAACGGAATGATCAAATGGAATCTAATGGAATCCTTGAATGGAAACAAATGGAATCATCGATTGGACTCCAAAGGAATTATTGAATGGGCTCGAATGGAATCATTGAATGGACTCGAATGGAATCATTATCGAGTGGAATCAAATGGAACCATCTAATGGAATTGATCAGAATCATCATCGAATGGAATCAAATTGAATCATTGAATGGAATTGAATGCAAATATCATCAAATGGAATCGAATGGAATCATCATTGAATAGAATTGAATGGAATCATCGAATGGAATCAAATGGAATCATTGTCGAATGGAATGGAATGGAATCATTTAATGGAATTGAATGCAATAGCCAATGAATGGAATCGAATGGAATCATCATTGAATGGAATTGAATGGAATCATCAAATGGACTCCATTGGAATCATCAACGAATGGAATCATGTGGAATCATTGAATTCACTTGAAATGAATCATGATCTAATGGAATTCAAAGGAATCATCATTGAATGGAATCACATGGAATCATCATCGAATGGAATCATATGGAATCATTATAGAATAGAATTGAATGGAATCATCATTTGGACTCGAATGGAATCATCAAATGGACTCATAGGGAAGCGTCGAATGGACTCGAACTGAATCATCATCGAATGGAATCGAATGGAATCATCAAAAGGACTAGAATTGAATCCTCATATAGACTCGAATGGAATCATTATAAAATGGAATCGAATAGAGTCATCGGATGGACTTGAATGGAATCATCATTGAATGGAATCGATTGGAATCATCGAATGGAATTGAATGGCATCATTGAATGGACTCGAATGGAATCATCATCAAATGAATTCCATTGGAATCATCAGATGGTATCGAATGGAATTATCGAATGGAATCGAATGGAATCTTCTTGGAATGGGAATCGAATGGAATCATCGAATGGAATAGAATGCAATCATCATTGAATGGAATCGAATGGAATCATCAAATGGAATCGAAATTAATCACCATTGAATGGACTCAAATGGAACCATCATCAAATAGAATCAGAAGGAATCATTGAATGGACTCGAATGGAATCATCATCGAATAGAATTGAATGGAATCATAGAAAGGAATCAAATGGAATCATCATCAAATGTAATTAAATGGAATCTTCAAAAGGAATCGAATGGAATCATGATCAAATGGAATCGAATAGAATCAGCGAATGAAATCAAATGGAATCAACATCAAATTGAATTGACTGGAATCATAGAAGAGTATCGAATGGAATCATTGAATGGAATCGAATGGAATCATTATCGAATGGAATTGAAGGCAATCATTGAATGGACTCAAATAGAAATATCAAATGGACATCAATGGAATCATCATTGAATGGAGTAGAATGGAATCTTCTAATGGACACGAATGGAATCATCATCGAATGGAATAGAATGGAATCATCATCGAATGGAATCAAATGGAATAATCTAATGGACCTGAATGGAAACATCATTGAATGGAATAGAATGGAATCACCATCGAATGGAATCCAATGGAATCATCAAATGGATCTGAATGGAATCATCATCGAATTGAATAGAATGTAGTCATCATCGAATGGAATCATCGTATGGAATCGAGTGGAGTCATCGAATGGGCTCGAATGGAATCATCATCGAATGGAATCGAATGGAATCATCATCGAATGGAATTGAATGGAATCATCGAATGGATTCGAATGGAATCATCATCAAATGTAATTGAAAACAATCATCAAAAGGATTCGAATGGAATCATCAAATGGACACAAATGGAATCATCATCGAATGGAATCAAATGGAATCATCGAATGGAATCGAATGGAACCATCATCAAATGGAATCAAATGGTATAATTGAATGCACACGAATGGAATCATCAAGGAATGGTATCGCATGGTATCATCAAATGGAATCTAATGGAATCATTATTGAATGAAATCAAATGGAATTACTCAAATGGAATCATCATCAAGTAGAATTGAATGGAATCATTGAATGGACTCGAATGGAATATCATCAAATGGAATCAAATGGAATGATCGAATAAAATCTAATGTAATCGTCATCGACTGAAATCACATTGAATTATCGAATGGGCTCGAATGGAATCATCATCGAATGGAATCGAATTGAATCGTCATCGAATGGACACGAATGGAATCATTATCGAATGGAATCGAATGGAATCATCAACAAATGGAATCGAATAGAATCATCATAGAATGGCATTGAATGGAATCATCAAATGGAATAGAATAGAATCATCTTCGAATGGAAAAAATAGAATCATCGAATGAAATCAAATGCAATAATCATCGAATAGAATCGAATGGAATCATCATCAAATGGAATTGAATAGAATCATCATCAAATGGAATGGAATGGAATGGTATCATTGAATGGACTCGATGGAAGTAATCATCAAATGCAATCGAATGGAATCATCATCGAATGGAATCGAATGGAATCATCCAATGGAATAGCATTAATCATCACCGAATGGAATCTAATAGAATTATCAAATGCAATCCAATGGAACCATCATCGAATGGAATCGAATGGAATCATCATCAAATGGAATCGAGTGAAAACATCATCAAATGGAATCAAGTGAAGTCATCATCGAATGGAATCGAATGGAACCATCCAATGTAATATAACTGAATAATCATCAAATGGAATCAAATAGAATCATCGAATGAAATCGAATGGAACCATCATTGAATGGAATCAAATGGAATCATCATCGAATGGAATAGAATGGAATCATAGAATGGAATCCAATGTAATCATCATCAAAATGAACCCAATGGAATCATTAAATGGCCTTGAATGGAATCATCGTATGGATGCGAATAGAATCATCATCGAATGGAATAGAATGGAATCATCGAATGCAATCGAATGGAATTATCATCGAATGGACTCGAATGGAATCATCATCCAATGGAATCAAATGGAATTGATATCGAATGCAATTGAATGGAAAAACCATCGAATTGAATCGAATGGAATCATCATGTAATTGAAATGAATGGACTCATCATCGAGTGGATTCGAATAGAATCAATGAATGGAATTGTTTGGAATCCTCATCGAATGGAATCGAATGGAATCATTGAAAACAATCGAATGAAATCATCACTGAATGGAATCGAATGGAATCATCAAATGGATTCGAATGCAATCATTGACTGGGCTTGAATGGAATCATCAAGGAATGGGATGGAATGAAATCATCGAATGGACTCGAATGGAATCATCATCGAATGAAATCAGATGGAATCATTGAATGGCTTTGAATGGAATCATCGAATGGACTCGAATGGAATCATCATTGAATGGAATTGAATGGAATCACGAATGGTCTCGAATGAAATCATCATCGAATGGAATCGAATGGAATCATCAAGTGAAATCGAATGGAATCATCATCGAACGGAACCGAATAGAATCGGTATCCAATAGAATTGAATGCAACCATCATCCAATGGAATCGAATGGAATTTTCTTCAAATGGAATCAAATGGAATCATCATCGAAGATAATCGAGTGGGATCATCGAATGAAATCGAATGGAATCACCATCAAAAGAATCGAAGTAAAACAAAGAATGGAATATAAAGGAATCATCGAATGGAATCGAATGGAATCATTATCAAAAAGAATTGAAGTAAAACAAAGAATGGAATAGAAAGGAATCATCAAAAGAAATCGAATGGAATCATCATTGAATGGACAAGAATGGAGTCATCATCGAATGGAATCATTCAATGGACTTGAATGGAATAATCATTGAATTGAATTGAATGGAATCATCTAATGGTCTCGAATGGAATCATCATGGAATTGAATCGAATGGACTCTTGGAGTGAAATCGAATGGAATCATCATCGAATGGAACCGAATAGAATCGGCATTGAATAGAATCAAATGTAATCATCATCCAATGGAATCGAATGGAATTTTTTTCAAATGGAATCAAATGGAATCATCATCGAAGAGAATCGAATGGGATCATCGAATGAAATCGAATGGAATCATCATCCAAAGAATCGAAGTAAAACAAAGAATGGAATACAAAGGAACCATCGAATGGAATTGAATGGAATCACCATCAAAAAGAATCAAAGTAAAATAAAGAATATAATACAAAGGAATCATCGAATGGAATCTAATGGAATCATCATTGAATGGACTCGAATGGAGTCATCATCGAATGGAATCGAATGGAATCATTTAATGGACTCCAATGGAATCATCGAATGGACTTGAATGGAATCATTGAATGGAATCGAATTTAATTATCATTGAATGAAATCAACTGGAATCAGCGAATGGACTCGAAAGGAATCATTGAATGGAATCGAATTTAAATATCATCGAATGAAATCAAATGGAATCATCGAATGGACTCGAATGGAATCATCATCGAATGGAGTCGAATGAAATCATGGAATACACTCAAATTTAGTCATCAAATGGACTCAAATGGAATCAACATCGAGTGGAATCGAAAGGAAACATCGAATGGACTTGAATGGAATCATCGAATGGACTCGAATGGAATCATCATCAAATGGAATCAAGTGGAATCAGCGAATGGAATCGAATGGAATCATCATTGAATGGAATGGAATGAAATCATCAATGAATGGAATTGAATGGAGTCATCGAATGGAGTCCGTTGGAATCATCATCGAATGGAACTGAATGCAGTCATCATTGAATGGAATCAAATGGAATTATCGAATGGACTCATTAGAATCATCATTGCATGGAATCGAATGGAATCATCGAATGGACTTGAATGCAATCATCAAACGGACTCGAATGGAAACATCATCGAGTGGAATCAAAAGGAATCATCGAATTGAATCAAATGGAATTATCATAGAGTGGAATCGAATAGAATCATCGAATGGACTCGAATGGCATCATCATCGAATGGAATTGAATGGAAACATCTAATGGCATCGCATGGAAGCATCATTGAATGGAATCGAATGGAAACATCGAATGGCCTGGAATGGAATCATCATTGATTGGAATCGAATGAAATCATTGAATGGAATCGAATGGAATGATCATTGAATGGTATCGAATGGAATCCTCGAATGTAATCAAATGGAATCATCAAATGGAATCGAACAGAATCATCATTGAATGGAATCAAATGGAATCATTGAATGGAATCAAAGGGAATCATCGAATGGAATTGAAGGGAATCATTGTCAATTGGAATCGAGTGGAATCATCAAATGGAATCGAATGGAATCATTGTCGAATGGCATGGAATGGAATTAATGAATGTAATTGAATGGAATCACCAATGAATTGAATGAAATGGAATCATCATCGAATGCAATCAAATGGAATGAACGAATGCACTCGGATGGAATCATTATTGAATGGAATCATGTGAAATCATCTAATGGGTACGAATAGAAACATCATCAAATGGAATTGAATGGAATCATCTAATGTACTCGAATGGAATCATCATTGAATGGAATAGAATGGAATCATCTAATGGAATCAAAAGAATCTACATTGTATGGAATCGAGTGGCATCATCGAATGGACTCGAATGTAATCATCGGAGAATGGAAGCAACCAGAATCACCAAATGGACTCGAATGGAATCATCATCGAATGGAATCGAATGGAATCATCGAATGGACTCTAATGGAATAATCATCAAATATCAAAAGCAATCATCAAATGGATTCGAATAGAATCATTGAATGGATTCGAATGCAATCATCATCGAATGGAATCAAATGGAATCATCGAATGGACTCGAATGAAATCATGATCGAATGGAATCAAATGGAAGCATCGAATGGACTCGAATGAAATCATCATCAAATGGAATCGAGTGGAGTCATCAAATGGAATCGAATGAAATCATCATCAAATGGAATCAAATGGAATCATCGACTGGACTCAAATGAAATCATCATCGAATGGAATCGAATGGAATCATCAAATGGAATCGAATGAAATCATCATCAAATGGAATCGAATGGAATCACTGAACGGACTCGAATGGAATTGTCATCAAATGGAATTGAATGGAGTAATCTAATGCACTCAAAAGGAATCATCGTTGAATGAAATCGAAATGAATCAAAGAATGGACACGAATGGAATCATCATCGAATAGAATCGAATGGAATCATCAAATGGAATAGAATGCACACATTATTGAATGGAATCGAATGGAATCATCATTGAATAGAATCGAATGGAATCATTGAATGGAATCATCATCAAATGGAGTCCAATGGAATCATCAAATGGACTCAAATGGAATGATCATAGAATGGAATTGAATGGAATCATCGAATGGAATCATGATCAAATGGAATCGAATGGTATCATCAAATGCACTTGAATGGAATCATCAACGAATGGTATCGAATGGTATCATCAAATGGACTCGAATGGAAAAATCTTCAATTGGCATCAAAAGGAATCACCGAATGGACTCGAATGGAATAATCTTCGAAAGGAATAGAATGGAATCATCGAATGGACTGGAATGGAATCATCATCGTACGGAATCGAATGGAATCATTGAATGGAATTGAATGGAATCATCATCGAATGGAATCCAAAGGAATAATCATCGAATGGAACCGAATGGAATCATCTTCGAATGGAAGCGAAAGGAGTCGTCATCAAATGGAATTGCATGGAATCATCATCGAATGGAATCAAATGGAATCATTATCAAATGGCATCTAATGGAATCATCGAATGGAATTGAATGGAATCATCAAATGAAATGAATGGAATCATCGAATGGTCTCGAATGGAATCATTATCAAATGGAATCGAAAGGAATCACCGAATAGAATCAAATGGAATAATCATCAAATGGACTCAAATGGAATAATCATCATATGGAATTGAACGGAATTAATGGATGGAATTAAATAGAATCATTGAATGGAGTCAAAAGGAATCATTCAACGGACTCGAATGGAATCATCATTGAATGGTATCGAATGGAAACATTGAATGGACATGAATGGAATAATCATCGAATGGAATCAAATAGAATCATCATTGGATGGAAATGAATGGAATCATCATCAAATGGAATCGAATGGAATCATCAAATGGTGTCAGATGGAATCATCATCGAATGGAATCAAATAGAATCATTGAATGAAATCGATTGGAATCATCATCAAATGGACTCCAATGGAATCATCATCGAATGGACTCGAATGGAATAATCATCCAATGGAATCCAATGGAATCAATATCCAATGGAATTGAATGGAAACACCATCGAATTGAATCGAATGGAATCATCATCAAATTGAAACGAATGGACTCATCATCAAATGGATTCAAATGGAATCATCAAATGTAATTGTTTGGAATCATCATTGAATGGAATCAAAAGGAATCATTGAATGGAATCGAATGGAATCATCATCGAATGGAAACGAATGGAATTATCATAGAATGGAATTGAATGGATTCATCGAATGGAATCAGATGGAATCATCATTGAAATGAATCGAATAGAATCATCGAATGTAATCGAATTGAATCATCATCAAACGGACACAAATGAAATCATCATCGAATGGACTCAAATGAAATCATCATCCAATGGAATCAAAAGGAATATTCGAATGGACATGAATGCAATCATCATTGAAAGGAATAGAATGTAATCACTGAATGGTATCGAGTGGAATCATCATCGAATGGAATCTAATGGAATAATCGAATGGACTCCAATTGAATCATCGTATGGAGTCGAATGGAATCATTGAATGGAATCGAATGGAAACACTGAATGGACTCGAATGAAATCATCATCAAATGGAATCGAATGGAGACATCGATTGGACTCGAATGGAATAATCATAGAACGGAATCGAATGGAATCACTGAATGGACTCGAATGGAATCATCATCAAATGGAATAGAATGGAATCATCTAATAGACACCTAAGAAATCATCATTGAATGAAATCGAATGGAATCACGGAATGGAGTCGAATGGAATATCATCAAATGGAATCAAAAGAAATCATCGAATGGACTCAAATGGAATAATTGAATGGACTCGAATGGAATCATGGATTGGACTCAAATGGAAATATCAAATGGGCTCGAATGTAATCATCGAATGGACTCGAAAGGAATCATTATCGAATTGAATCAGTTGGAATCATCAAATGAAATCGAATGGAATCATCGAATGGAATTGAATGGAATCATCATCGAATGGAATCAAATGGAATCATTGAATGGAATCCAATGCAGTCATCATCAAATGGACTCGAATGGAAACATCATCAAATGGAATCCAACAGAATCATCGAATGGCATCGAATTGAATCATCATTGAATGGAATCTAACGGAATAATGGTATGGACTCTAATGGAATCATCTAATGCAGTCAAATGGAATCATCATCGAATATAATCTAATGGAATCATTGAATAGTGTCGAATGGAATCATCGTCGAATGCAGTCGAATGGAATCATCGAATGGACTGGAACGGAATCGTGATGAAATGTAATCAAATGGAAACTTCGAATGGACACGAATGGAATCATCATTAAATGCAATTGAATGGAATCATCATCCAATGGAATCGAATGAAATCGTCATCGAATGGAATCGAATAGAATCATCCAATGGAATAGAATTGATTCGTCATCGAAAGGAATCGAATAGAATCATTGAATGAAATCGCATGGAATCATCATTGAGTGGAATTGATTGGAATCATGAACGAATGGAATCGAATGGAATTGTAGAATGGAATCCAAAGTAATCATCATCGAATTGAACCCAATGGAATCATTAAATGGACTTGAATGGAATCATCGAATTGACTCGAATGGAATCAACATCGAATGGAATCAAATGCAATCATCATATGGACTCGAATGGAATCATCATTGAATGGAATCGAATGGAATCATTGAATGGACAAGAATGGAATCATCATTGAATGGACTCTAATGGAATCATCATGGAATGGAATCAAATGGAATCATCATTGAATGGAATCAAACGGAAACATCATCAAATGCAATCGAATTGAATCATCATCGAATGGAATCAAAATGACTCATCATCGAACAGAATCAAATGGAATAATCATCGAATGGAATGGAATGGAATCATCCAGTGAAATAGAATGGAATCAACTTCGAACGTAATAAAAAAAAACAAAATTAATTGAATAGAATCATCTTTGAATGGAATCCTCATCGAATGGAAACTAATAGAATCATCATCAAATGGAATCGAATGGAATCCTCAGGGAATGGGATCTAAAGGAATCATCATTGAGTGGAATTGAATGGAATAATCATCTAATGGAATTGAATGGAATCATGGAATGGACTCGAATGTAATCATCATCTAATGGAATAGAACGGAATAAGCGAATGGACTCGAAAGGAATCATCATCAAATGGAATCGAATGGAATTATCAAATGGAATCAAATGAAATCATCGAATGGAATTGAATGGAATCATCAAATGGAATCGAATGGAATTATCGAATGGAGTCGAATGAAATCATCAAATGGAATTGAATGAAATCATTGAATGGAATAGAATGGAATAACCATCAAATGGAATCGAATTGAATCACCATCAAATGGAATCGAGTAGAATCATCACCAAATGGAATTGAATGGAATCATGGAATGAACTCGAATGGAATCATCCTCTAATGGACTCGAATGGAATCAAAACCAAATGGAATCTAATGAATTCATTGAATGGACTCAAATGGAATTATCTTCGAATGGAATAGGAGGGAATCATTGAATGGAATTGAACTGAATCATCGAATGGAATCGAATGGAATCATCAAATGGACTCCAATGGAATCCTCATCGAATGGAATCAAATGGAATCATAGAATGGTATGGAATGCAATAATCATCAAATGCAATCAAATGGAATCATCATCTAATGCAGTCCAATGGAATCGTCAACGAATGGAATCGAATGGAATCATCAAATGGGATCGAAATGGAATTATCATCAAATGGAATTGAAGGGAATCATTGAGAGGTATCGAATTGAATCATCAAATGGAATCGAATGGAATCATCATCGAATGAAATCAAATGGACACTTCCAGTGGCCTCCAATGGAATTATCATAGAATGGAATTGAATGGAATCATGGAATGGACTCGAATAGAAACACCATTGAATGAAATCGAATTTAATCATTGAAAAGAATCAAATGGAATCATCATCTAAAGGAATCATCTAAAGGACTGAAATGGAATCATCTTCTAATGGAATCAAATGGAATCATTGGACTTGAATAGAAGCATCATCGAATGGAATCGAATGGAATCATTGAATAAAATCGAATGGAATCTTCATCGAATGGACTCGAATGGAATAATCATGGAATGGAATCAAACGGAATCATCCTCAAATGGACTCGAATGAAATCATCGAATGGACTCGAATGGAATCATCGAATGGAATTGAATGGAATCTTCGAATGGCCCCGAATGGAATCATGATCAAATGGAATCGAATGGAATCATTGAACGGACTCGAATGGAATCATGATCGAATGGAATCAAATGGAATCATCTAATGGAATCGAATGGAATCATAATCGAATGAAAACAAATGGAATCATTGAATGACATCAAATGGAATCATCATCGAATGGAATCGAATGGAATCATTGAACAGACTCGAATGGAATCATGATCGAATGGAATCAAATGGAATCATCTGATGGAATCAAATGGAATCATAATCGAATGAAAACAAATGGAATAATTGAATGACATCAAATGGAATCATCATCGAATGGAATCGAATGGAATCATCGAATAGACTCGAATGCAATCATCAGTGAATGGAATTGAATGGAATCATTGAATGGGCTCGAATGGAATCATCATCGAATGGAATCAAATGGAATCATCATCAAATGGAATCAAATAGAATCATCAAATGGAATTGAGTAGGATCATCGAATGAAATCCAATGGAATAATCTTTGAATGGAATCAAATGGAATCATCATAGAATGGAATCATCATCCAATGGAATCGAATGGAATCATCATTGAATGGTATCAAATGGAATCATCAACGAATGGAATCGAATGGAATTATTGAATGGAATGGAATGGAATCATCATCAAATGGAGCCGAATGGAATCATCATCAAATGGAACCTAATGGAGTCATCATCGAATGGAATCTAAAGGAATCATCATCGAATGGAATTATCATTGAATGTACACGAATGGAATAATCATCAAATGGAATCGAATGGAATCTTTGAATGGTCTCGAATGGAATCAACATCGAATGGAATCGAATGGAATAATCGAATAGAAACATCATCGAATGAAATCAAATGGAATCATCGAATGAAATTGAATGGAATCATCATCAAACGGAATCGAATTGAATCATCAAATGGAATCGAATGGAATCATCATCAAATGTTATCGAATGGAATCATAGAATGGTTTTGAATGGAGTCATCATCAAATGGAATCAAATGGAATCACCATCGAATGGAATCAAAAGCAATCATCAAATGGATTTGAATAGAATCATTGAATGGACACAAATGGAATCATCATTGAATGGAATCTGATCAAATCAACATATGGAATCGAATGGAATCATAATTGAAATGAATCAAATGGAATCATCTAATGGACTGGAATGAAATCCTCATCGAATGGAAACGAATGGAATCATCGAATGGACTCGAATGGGATCATCATCGAATAGAATCGAATGGAATCATCCTCAAATGGACTCGAATGGAAGCTTTAAATGGACACGAATGGAATCATTGAATGGAATCTTATGCAATCATTATCAATGGAATTGACTGGAATAATCATCAAATGGAATGGAATAGAATCATTGAATGAAATCAAATGGAATTATCATCAAATGGAATTGAATGGAATCCTCATCGAATGGAATCATCATCAAATGGAATCAATTGAAATCATCATCAAATGGAATCGAATGGAATCATCAACGAAAGGAATCGAATGGAATCATTGAAGGGAATGGAATGGAATCATCATCCAATGGAACCGAATGGAATCATCATCAAATGAAACCTAATGGAATCATCATCGAATGGAATCGCATGGAATAATCATCAAATGGAATCAATTGGAATCATCATTGAGTAGAATCGAATGGAATCATTTTCTAATGGACTCGATTTGAATCATCAAATGGACACGAATGGAATCATTGAATGGACTCTCATGCAATCATCATCAATGGAATCGAATGGAAAAATCATCAAATGGAAAGGAAAGGAATCATCATCGAAGGGAATCAAATGGAATCATCAACAAATGGAATCAAATAGAATCATCAAATGAAATCAAATGGAATTATCATTCAAAGGAATCAAATGGAATCATCATCGAATGGAATCCTCATTGAATGGAATCAAATGAAATAATCATCGAATGGAATTGAATGGAATCATCAACGAATTGAATCGGAAGGAATCATCAAATGGAAACTAATGGAATCATCATCCAATGGAACTGAAAGGAATCATCATCAAATGAAACCTAATGGAATCATCATCGAATGGAATTGCATGGAATCATCATCGAATGGATTCAAATGGAATCAACATCGAATGGAGTCCAATGGAATCATCAACGATTGGAATCGAATGGAATGACCATCTTATGGAATCGAAGGGAAACATCGAATGGAATTGAATTGAATCATAGAATGGACTCGAATGGAATCATCATCGAATGGAATCGAATGGAAACTTCGAATGGACTCGAATGGAATCATCATAGAATGGAATTGGATGGAGTCATCGAATGGACTCGAATAGAAACATCATTGAATGAAATTGCATGGAATCATAGAAAGGAATTCAATGGAATCCTCATCGAATGGTATCATTGAATGGAATGGAATGGAATCATCATCGAATGGAAATGAAAGGGATCATAGAATGGTATCGAATGGAATCATAATCAAATGGAATAGAATGGAATCATCATCGAATGGAATTGAAAGCAAACATCGAATGGATTCGAACAGAATAATTGAATGGACATGAATGGAATCATCATCCAATGGAAACGAATCAAATCATCTAATGGACAGGAATGGAATCCTCATCGAATGGAATTGAATGGAATCATCGTTGAATGGACTTGAATGGAATTGTCGAATGGGCTTTAATAGAATCATCGAATGGACTAGAATGCAAACATCATCAATGGAATCAAATGAAATTAAACTCAAATGGAGTCCAAACGAATCATCATCAAATGGAATCGAATGGAATCATTGAAAGGAATGGAATGGAATCATAATTGAAAGATATTGAAGTGAATCATCGAATGGAATCAAATTGAATCATCGAATTGAATCGAATGGAATCATCACTGAATGGACTCGAATGGAATCATCATGGGATGGGATCGAATGGAATAGTCAAATGGACCCGAATGGAAACATCGAATGGACTCGAATGGAATCATTGAATGGACTCGAATGGAATCATCATCGAATGAATTGAATGGAAACATCGAATGGAATCGAAAGGAATGATCATTAAATGGAATCGAATGGAATCATCGAATAGAATCAAATGGAATCATCATCAAACGAAATTGAATGAAATCATCGAATGGCATTGGATGGAATCATTGAATGGAATCCAATGGAATCATCGAATGGACTAGAATGGAATCATCTTTGAATGGAATCGAATGGAATCATCGAATGGACTCGAATTGAATCATCATTGAATGGAAATGATTGGAGTCATCATCGAATGGAATCGAATGGGATAATCATTGAATGGAATACAATGGAATCATCTAATGGAATAGAATGGAATCATCATTGAATGGAATCGAATAGAGTTATAGAATGAAATCTAATTGAATCATCATCGAATGTAATTGAATGGAATTGTCATCAAATGGAATCGAATGGAATCATCAATGAATGGAATCGAATGGAATCATCAAATGGAACCGAATGGAATCATCATCAAATGGAATCGAATAGAGTTAAAGAAAGAAATCAAATGGAATCATCATCAAATGGAATCGAATGGAATCATCAACGAATGGAATCGAATGGAATCATCATCGAATGAAATCGAATGGAATCTAATGGAATCTTCATCGTATGGAACTGAGTGGAATCATCATCAAATGGAACCAAATGGAGTCATCATCGAGTGGAATCAAATAGAATCATCATCGAATGGAATCGAATGGAATCATCAAATGGAATCTAACGGTATCATCATTGTATGGAACCGAATGGAATCATCATCAAATGGAACCTAATGGAGTCATCATCAAATGGAATGCAATGGAATCAGCATCGAATGGAATTGAATGGAATCATCATCGAATGGTTGTGAATGGAATCAGCATTGGATGCAATCGAATGGAATCATTGAATGGAATCAAATAGAATGATCATCGAATGGAATCAATGGGAATCATCGAATGGAATTGAGCAGTATGTTTGAATGGATTTGTATTAAATCATCAAATGGACACGAATGGAATCATCATCAAATGGAATCAAAAGGAATTATCAAAAGGAATCAAAAGGAATCAACATCAAATGAAGGTGAATTGAATCATCGAATGGAATCAAATGGAATCATCATCGAATGGAATTGAATGGAATCATAGAATGGTGTCGAATGGATTCATCATCAAATGGAATCGAATGGAGTCATCATAGAATGGAAACAAAAGCAAACATCAAATGGCTTCAAACAGAATCATCGAATGGACACGAATGAAATCATTATCCAATAGAAAGGAATGGAATCAACGAATGGAATTGGATGGAATCATCATCGAATTGAATCGATTGGAATCATCTAATGGAATGGAATGGAATCCTCATTGAATGGAATCGAATGTAATAATCGACTGGAAAAGAATGGAATCCTCATCGAATGGAAGGGAATGGAATCATCAAATGGAGTCGAATTTAATCGTCATCGAATGTAATTAAATGGAATCATCGTGGAATGGACACGAATGGAATCATCAAATGGACACTAATGGAATCATCGAATGGATTCTAATGCAATCATCATCAATGGAATTGAATGCAATGAAAATCATATGGAATCAAAAGGAATCGAATGGAATCATCAAATGGAATCCAATGGAATCAACATCGAATGGAAGCGAATTGAATCACTGAATGGAATCAAATGGAATCATCATTGAACGGAATCAAATAGAATCATCGAGTGGAATAGAATGGAATCCTCATCTAATGGAATCGAATGGAATCATCGAATGGAATCGAGTGGAATCATCATTAAAAGTATTCGAAGTGAATCACTGAATGGAATCGATTTGAATCATCAAATAGAATTGAATGGAATCATCATCAAATGGACTCGAATTGAATCATAATGGGATGGAAACGAATGGAATCATCAAATAGACTCAAATGGAATCCTCGATTGGACTCGAATGGAATCATCAAGGAATGGATTCGAATGGAATCATCATCAAATGGAATCAAATGGAATCATCAATGAATGGAAGTTAATGCAATAATCATTGAATGAAATCAAATGGAATCATCGAATGGCATCAAATGGACTCATCACCAAATGGAATCGAATGGAAACATCGAATGGACACAAATGGAATCATCATCAAATGGAATCGAATGGAATTATTGAATGGACTCAAGTGGAATCATCATCGAAAGGAATCAAATGGAATCATTGAATGGAATGAATGGAATCATCATTGAACAGAATCGAATGGAATCATTGAATGGAATCTAATGGAATGATCATAGTATGGAACCGAATGGAATCATCATCAAATGGAACCAAATGGAGTAATCATCGAATGGAAATGAATGGAATAATCATCGAAAGGATTCGAATGGAATCATGATCGAATGGTTGCGAATGGAATCAGCATCAAATACAATCGAATGGAATCTTCGAATGGAATCAAATGGAATGATCATTGAATGGAATCAAAGGGAATCATCGAATGGAATGAAACGGTATGATCGAATGGAATCATATGGAATCATCGAAAGGACACGAATGGAATCATCACGAATGGAATCAAATGGAATCATCGAATGGAATTGAATGGAATCAACATTGAATGGAAGCGAATGGAATCATTGAATGGACTCGAATGGAATCATCATCGAATGGAATTGAACGGAATCATCATCGAGTGGAATGAAGGGAATCATCATCGAATGGAATCGAAAGGAATCATTGAATGGAATAGAATGGAATCATCCTCAAATGGAATCGAATAGAATCGTCGAATGAAATCGAATGGAATCATTGAATGGACTCGCATGGAATCATCAACGAATGGATTCGAATGGAATCATCAAATGAACTCCAATGGAATCATCATCAAATGAAATCGTACAGAATTTTCGAATGGACTCGAATGGAATAATCATCGAATGGATTCAAATGGAATCATCGAGTGAACTCGAATGGAATCATCATTAAATGGAATCAAACGGGATCATCGAATGGATTCGAATGGAAACATCAACGAATGGAATCAAATGGAATCATGGAATGGACTCGAATGGAGTCATCATCAAATGGAATCGAATGGAATCTGCAAATGTACACGAAAGGAATCATCATCGAATGGAATCATCGAATGGAATCTAATGGAATCATTATCAAATGGATTAGAAGGGAATCATCATAGAATGGAATTGAATGGAATCATCAATGAATGGAATGGAAAGGAATCACCATCGAATGAAATCGAATGGAATCATGGAATGGCATCGAATGGAATCATCATCCAATAGAATCAAATGGAATCATCGAATGGACCCGAATGGAATCATCATTGAATGGAATCGAATGGAATCATTTAATGCACTCGAATGGAATCATCATCGAATGGAATGAATGGAATCATCATTGAGTTGGATAGAATGGAATTGTCGAATGGGATAGAACGGAATCCTCATCTAATGGAATCGAACAGAATCATCGAATGAAATGTAATGGAATCATTGAATGGACTCGAGTGGAATCATCATTGAATGGAATCGAATGGAATCATCAAATGGACTCGAATGGAATCATCATTGAATGGAATCGAATGGAATCATCGAATGGACTCGAATGGAGTCATCATCGAATGGAGTCTAATGGAATCATCGAATTTACTCGAAAGGAATCTTCATCTATTTGAATCGAATGGAATCATCATCGAATGGAATCGAATGGAATCATCATCGAATGAAATCTAATGGAATCATCGAATAACATCGGATGGAATCATCATCAAATGGAATGGAATGGAATCATCATTGAATCTAATTGAATGGAATCAACGAATGGAATAGAATGGAATCATCATGAATGGAATTGAATAGCATTATCGAATGAAATCAAATTGAATCATCACCGAATGGAATCGAATGGAATCATCATTGATTAGAATCAAATGGAATCATCAATGAATGGAATCGAATGGAATCATTGAACATAATCTATTGGAATCATCATCGAATGGAACTGAATGGAATCATCATCAAGTGGAACCTAATGGTGTCATCATCGAATGGAATCATCAATGAATGGAATCCAATGGAACCATCATCGAATGGAATCGAATGGAATGATCATTGAATGGAATAGAAGGGAATCATCAAATGGATTCGAATGGTATCATAGAATGGAATCGAATGAAATCATCAAATGGACACAAAGGGAATCATAATCAAATGGAAAGGAATGGAATCACCAAACGGACTCTCATAGAAACATCATCAAATGAAATAGAATGGAATCATCGAATGGAATTGAATGGAATCATCATTAAGTGGAATAGAATGGATTCATCGAATGAAATCAAAAGGAATCATCATTGAGTGGAATCTAATGGAATCATCATCGAACGGAATCAAATAGAATCATCCAATGGAATTGAATGGAATCATCATCAAATGGAATCAAATGTAATCATCGAATGGACTCAAATGGAATCATCGAATGGACTTGAATGGAATCATCATCGGATGGAATCGAATGGAAACATTGAATGGAATCGAATGGAATCATTGGATGGAATCGAATGGAATCACTGAAAGAACTCAAATGGAATCATTATGTGGATTCAAATGGAATGATCATATGGGATCAAGTGGAATCATCGAATGGTCTCAAATGGTATCATCATCGAATGGAATCAAATGGAATCATCAAATGGAATTGAATGAAATCATCATCGAATGGATTCAAATGGAATCATTGAATGGACTCGAATGGAATCATTTTCAAATGCAATCTAATGGAAACATCGAATGACATGAAAGGAATCATAATCGAATGGTAGCAAATGGAATCATCGAATGCAATTGAATGGAATCATCATCGAATAAAATGGAATGGAATCATCGAATGGCATCAGATGGATTCATCATCAAATGGAATTGAATGAAATCATCGAATGGACTCTAATGGAATCATCATCGAATTGAATCAAAGGGAATAATGAAATGGACTCTAATGGAATCATCATTGAATGGAGTGGAATGGAAACATTATCGAATGGAATCATCATTGAATGGTATCAAATGGAATCATCGAATGGAATAGAAAGGCATCATCATTGAATGGAATCGAATAGAAATACAGAATGAAATCCAACTGAATCATCATCAAATGGAATCGAATGGAATCATCACCAAATGGAATCCACTGGAATCATCATCGAATGGAACACAGTGGAATCATCATCATATGGAACCTAATGGAGTCATCATCGTTTGGAATCGAATGAAATCATCATCGAATGGAATTGAATGGAATCATAATCAAATGGAATCCAGTGGAATCATCATTGAATGGAATCGACTCGAATCATCGAATGGAATTGAATGGAATAATCATTGAATGGAATCGAAGGGAATCGTCAACTGTAATCTAACAGCATCATAGAATGGGACTGAATGGAATCATCTAACGGACTCGAATGGAATCATCATCGAATCAAATCGAATGGAATTATCAAATGGACTCATAAGGAATTATCATGGAATGGAATCGAATGGAAACGAATAAAATCATCAAATGAAATCGAATGGAGTCATCATTGAATGGAATCCAATGGAATCAACATCGAATGGACTCGAATGGAATCATCATCAAATGGTATCAAAAAGAATCATCATCAAATGGATTCGAATGGAATAATCAATGAATGGAATGGAATGGAATTATTGAATGGAATCTAATGGAATCATCATTCAATGGAACTGAATGGAATCATCCTCAAATGGAATCTAACGGTGTCATTATCGAATGGATTCAAAAGGAATCATCATCGAATGGCATCAAATGGAATCATCATCAAATGGAATCGAATGGAATCATCGAATGGAATCGAACGGAATCATTGAATGGTCTCAAATGGAATCACCATCGAATTGAATCAAATAGAGTCATCATTGAATGGACTCGAATGGAATCATCGAATGGCCTCGAATGCAATCAGCCTCTATGGAATCGAATGGAATCATCATCAAATGGAATCAAAAGGAATCATCATCGAAAGGAAACGAATGGAATCATCATCAAATGGAATCAAAAGGACGCATCATCAAACGGATTCAAATGGAATCATCATCAAATAAAATTGAAAGGAATCATCGAATGGAATCGAATGGAATCATCATCAAAATGAATCAAAGTGAGTCATCGAATGGAATCGAACTGAATCATAAAATGGTATCGAATGGAATCATCATCGAATGGAGTGGAATGGAATCAACATCGAATGGAATAGAATGGAATCATTGAATGAACTCGAATGGAATCATCATAGAATGCACTCGAATGGAATTATCATCTAATGGAATCAAATGGAATTATCAAATGGACTCGAATGGAATCATAATCGAATGGACTCAAATGGAATGATCGAATGGACTCAAATGGAATCATCGATTGGACCCAAATGGAATTATTGAATGGGCTCGAATGGAAATATCGAGTGGACTCGAATGGAATCATTATCAAATGGAATCATTGAAAGGAAGCAAATAGAATCATCGAATGGAATCTATCAGAATCATCATCAAATGGAATCAAATGGAATCCTCAAATGGAAACTAATGCAGTCATCATCAAATGGAATCAAATGGAATCATCATCAAATAGAATCAAATGCAATCATCGAATGGATTCGAATGGAATCATCGTCGAATGTAATCGAATGGAATCATCGAATGGAATCATCAAATGGAATTGAAAGAATCAACATCGAACAAAATCGAATGGAATCATCGTAGTATAGAATCGAATGGAATCATTGAATGGAATCATCATCAAATGGAGTCCAATGGAATCATCGAATGGACTCGAATGGAATCATTGAATGGACTCGAATGGAATCATCGAAGGGGGTCGAATGGAATCATTATCTAATGGAATCAAATGGAATCATCATCAAATGGAATCAACACTGAATGGAATCGAATGGGATCATCGAATGGAATCAGATGGAATCATAATCGAATGAAATCGAATAGAAGCATCGAATGAAATCAACTGGAATCATCATCGAATGCAGTCAAATGGAATCATCATTGAATGGAATCTCATGGAATAATCAATGGATTGAATCAAATGGAATCATCGAATGGAATCCAAAGGAATCATCATCAAAGGGAAACGAATGGAATCATTAAATGGACTCGATTGGAATCATCAATGAATGGAATCAAATGGAATCATTGAATGGATTCCAATGGAATCATTACCAAATGGAAATGAACAGAATCATCCAATGGACTGAAATGGAATCATCATCGAATGGAATCAAATGGAATCATCAAATTAAATCGAATAAAATCATCATCGAATGGAATCGAATGGAACCAACACTGAATGGAATCGAATGGAATCATTGAATGGAATCAAATAGAGGCATTGAATGAAATCGAATTGAATCATTACCGAACGGACTCAAATGGAATCATTGAAAGTAATTGAATGGAATCATATTCGAATGGAATTGAATGGAATCATCGAATGGACATGAATGGAATAACCATCGAATGGAATCGAATGGAATAATCATCGAATGGACTCGAATGGAATCATCGTAGAATGGAATCGAATGGAATCATCATCGAATGGAACCGAATGGAAACATCATCGAATTGAATCAAATGGAATCATCATGGAATTAAATCAAATGGCTCATCATCAAATGGAATCAAATGGAATCATCGAATGGAATCGAATGGAATCAACATCGAGTGGAATCGAATGGAATCATCAAATGGAATCGAATGGAATCATCATCGAATGGCATCGAATGGAAACATCGAATGATATTGAATGGAATCATCATCAAACGGAGTCAAATGGAATCATCCTTGAATGGAATCTAATGGAAACATGAACGAAGGGAATCAAATGGAATCATCATTGAATGGACATGAATGGAATCATCTTCGAATGGACTCGAATGGAATCATCATCGAATGGACACAAATGGTGTCATCGAATGGACTCAAGTGGAATCATCAAATGGACTCGAATGGAATTATTGAATGGGAATGAATGGAATCATCATCGAATGGAATATCATGGAATCATCGAATTGCTTCTAATGGAATCCTCATCAAATGGAATCATCGAATGGAATCAGATGGAATCGTCATCAATGAAATTGAATGGAACCATCGAATGGCATCGAATGGAATCATCATCCAATGGAATCAAATGGAATCATCTAACGGACTCGTATGGAATCATCATCGAATGGAATCGAATGGAATCGAGTGGAATCGTAGAATGGACACCAGTGGAATCATCATCGAATGGAATCAAATGGAATCATCATCAAAAGGAATCGAATTGAATCATCATAGAATGGAATCGAATGGAATTATCGAATGGAATAGAAGGGAATCATCATCAAATGGAATCAAATAGAATCATCGAATGAAATCTAATGGAATCATCATCGAATGGAATCTAATGGAATCATCATCGAATGGAATCGAATGGAATCATCAACAAATGGAATCGCATGGAATCATCAAATGGAAACTAATGGAATCATCATCACATGGATTCAAATGGAATCATCATGGAATGGAATCGAGTGGAATCATCATCCAATGGAATCGAATGGTATCACTGATTTGAATGGAATGATCATCGAATGGAATCGAAGGGAATCATTGAATGGGATCGAAAGGAATCATCAAATGGAATCGAATGGAATCATCATATGGATTCGAATGGAATGATCATCGACTGCAATCGAATGGAATCATCATTTGGATTCAAATGGAATCATCATCGACTGCAATTGAATGGAATCATCATCGACTGGAATCGAATGGAATCATCATCAAATGTTATCACATGGAATCATCAATGAATGGAATCGAATGGAATCATCAAATGGAACCGAATGGAATGATCATCGAATAGAATCGAATGGAATCATCGAATGGAATCGGAAGGGATCATCCAATAGAATCAAATGGAATCATTGAAGGGACTCGAGTGGAATCATCATTGAATTCAATCTAATGGAATCATTGAATGGACTCTAATGGAATCATCATCGAATGGAATCGAATGGAATCATCAAATGGAATCGAATGGAATCATCATCGAATGGCATCGAATGGAAACATCGAATGGAATCGAATGGAATCTTCGAATGGACTCGATTGGAATCATCATCAAATGCAATCAAATGGAATCATCATAGAATGAAATCAGATGAAATCATCATCAGAGGGAATCGAATGGAATCATCACTAAATGGAATGGAATGGAATCATTGAACAGAATCAGATGGAATCATCATCAAATGGAATCGAAGAGAAGCATCCAATGAAATCCAATGGAATCATCAATGAGTGGACTTGAATGGAATCATCATCGAATGGACTCGAATGGAATCATCGTCAAATGCATTCGAATGGAATGATCATCAAATGGACTGGAATGGAAACATCATCGAATTGAATGAAATGGAATAATCATGAAATTGAAGCAAATGGTTCGTCATCGAATCGAATCGAATGGAATCATCATCGAATGGAATCATCGAATGGACTCGAAAGCAATCACCGAATGGACTCGAATGGAATAATCATCGAATGGAATAGAATGGAGTCATTGAATGGACTCAAATGGAAGTATCATTGAATGGAACAGAATGGAATCATAGAATGAACTCGAATGGAATCATCATTGAATGCACTCGAATGGAATCATCATCAAATGGACTTGAATGGAATCATCGAATGGATTCGAATGGAATCATCATCGAATGGAATCCAATGGAATCATCAAATGGAATTGAATGGAATCATCATTGACTGGGATTGAATGGAATCATCGAATGGATTCGAATGGAGTCATCATGGAATGGAATCAAATGGAATTATCGAATGGACTCGAACGGAATCAACTTTGAATGGAATTGAAGGGAAGCATCGAAAGGAATCGAATGCAATCATTATCGAATGGAATCAAATGGAATCAAAAGGAATCATCGAATGGAATCGAATGGAATCATCAAATTGACTCGAATGCAATCATCATAGAATGGAACCAAATGGTGTCAAAGAATGGACTCAAATGGAATCTTTGAATGGAGTCGAATGGAATCATCGAATGGAATCCAATGGGATCATCATCGAATGGAATTGAATGGAACCAACAACGAATGGAATCGGATGGAATCATTAAAAGAAATCCAATGGAATCATCATCAAATAGAAACGAATGGAATCATCGAATGGACTCGTATGGATTCATCATCGAATGAAATCGAAAGTATTCAATTCCATACAATGGAATTGAATGGAATCATCATTGAATGCAATAGAATAGAATTATTGAATGGAATCAAATAGAATCATCAATGAATGGAATCAAATGGAATCATTTAATGGACTTGAATGGAATCATCATCAAATGGAATCAGATGGAATCAATGAAGGGACTAGAATGAAATCATCGAATGGACTTGAATGGAATCATAATCGAATGGAAACGAAAGGAATCATTGAATGGAATCGAATGGAAACATCATTGCATGGAATCAAATGGAATCATTGAATGGAATTGAATGGAATAATCGAATGGAACCGAATGCAGTCGTCCTCGAATGGAATCGAATGGAATCATCAAATGGACTTGAATGGAATCATCATCGAATGGAATAGAATGGAATCACCTACTGGAATCAAATGCAATCATCGAATGGACTCGAAAGGAATCATCATCGAATGGAATAGAATGGAATCATCGAATGGACTTGAATGGAATTATCATTGAATGGAATTGAATGGAATCATCGAACAAACTCGAATGGAATCATCATCGAACGCAATCGAACGGAATCATCGAATGGACTCGAATGCAATCATCGAATGGACTCGAATGGAATCATCATCGAATGGAATAGAATGCAATCATCGAATGGACTCAAATGGAATTATCATGGAATGGAATAGAATGGAATCATCGAATGAACTCGAATGGAATCATCATCGAATGGAATCGAATGGAATCATCAAATTGATTCTAATGGAATCATCATTGAATGGAATCATGTGGAATCGTCGAATGAACTCAAAATGAATCATAATCGAATGGCATCGAAAGGAATCATCATCGAATGGAATCACATGGAATCATCTTGGAATGGAATCATACGGAGTCATCATAGAATGGAATTGAATGGAATCATCAAGTGGACTAAAAGGGAAGCGTCAAATTGACTTGAACCAAATCATCATCGAATGGAATCGAAGGGAATAATCGAAAGGACCCGAATTGAATCATCAAATGGACTCAAACGGAATCATTATAGAATGGAATCGAATAGAATCATCAGATGGACTTGAATGGAATCATCATTGAATGGAACTGATTGGAATCATTGAATGCACTCAAAAGGAATCATCATCAAATGGAATTGAATGGCATTAATGAATGGTCTCGAATAGAATCATCATCAAATAAAATCCATTGGAATCATCTGATGGAATCGAATGGAATTATCGAATGGAATTGAATGGAACCATCTTTGAATGGAATGGAATGGAATCATCGAATGGATTCGAATACAAAAATCATTGAATGGAATCGAATGGAATCATCGAATGAAATCGAATTTAATCTCCATTGAATGGACTCAAATGGAATCACTGAATGAAATGGAATAGATTCATCTTCCAATGGAAACAAAGAGAATCATTGAATGAATTCAAATGGAATC
>NT_187393.1:68195-79012 GCF_000001405.40 Homo sapiens
TCACATGGAATCATCAACGAATGGAATCGAATCGAATCATCAACGAATGGAATCGAGTGGAATCATCGAATGGAATCCCATGTAATCATCATCGAATTGAACCCAATGGAATCATTACATGGACTCGAAATGAATCATCAAATGGACTCAAATGGAATCATCATTGAATGGAATAGAATGGAATAATCGAACGGAAACGAATGGAATCATCATGGAATGAAATCAAATGGAATCATCGTATGGACTCGAATGGAATCATCATTGAAAGGAATCGAATGGAATCATCGAATGGTCTCAAATGGAATCATCATCGAATGGAATCAAAAGGAATCTTCGAATGGACTTCAATGGAATGATTGAATGGACTCTAATGGAATCTTCATCGAATGGAATTCAATGGAATCATCAAATGGACACTAATGGAATCACCATCGAATGGAATCGAATGAAATCATCGAATGGAATCAAATAGAATCTTCATTGAATAGAATCGAATGGAACCGTCATCGAATGGGATCTGATGATATCATCATCGAATGGAATCTAATGGAGTCATCATCTAATGGAATTGAATAGAATCAGCAAGGAAGGGAATCGAATGGAGAAATCGAATGGAATCCGTTGGAATCATCATCGAATGGAACCGAATGCAGTCATCAGAGAATGGAATCAAATGGAATCAAAGAAGGGACTCGAATGGAACCATCATTGAATGTAAATGGTTGGAATCATCAAATGGACTCGGATGGAATCATCGAATGGGCTCTAATGGAATCATCATCAAATGGAATCAAATGGAATCTTCGAATGGACTCTAATGGAATCATCATCGAATGGAATCGAATGGAATCATCAAATGGACTCGAATGGAATCATTGAATGTACTCGATTGGAATCATCATCGAATGGAATCGAGTGGAATCCTCAAATGGAATCAAATGGAATCATCAATTGGTATCGAACGCAATCATCATCAAATGGAAACGAATGGAATCATCGAATGGAATTGAATGCAATCATCTTCAAAAGGAATTGAATGGAATCATCTTTGAATAGAATAAAATGGAGTCATCAAATAGAATCAAATGGAATCATCGTCAAGTTTAATCGAGTGGAATCATCAAAGGAAATCGAGTGGAATCATTGTTGAATGGAATGGAATGGAATCAATGAATAGAAATGAATGGAATCACCAATGAATGGAATTGAATGGAATCATCATCATATGGAATTGAATAGAATCATCAAATGGACTCGAACGGAATCATCATTGAATGGAATCACATGGAATCATCATCGAATGGAATCATACGGAAACATCATCGACGGGAACTGAGTGAAATGAAATTTGGACTCGAATGGAATCATCAAATGGACTCGAATGGAAGTGTCAAATGGACCCGAATGGAATCATCATCAAATGGAATCGAAGGGAATCATCGAATGGAATCAAAAGGAATCATCATTGAACGAAAACGAATTTAATCATCTAATGCACTAGAATGGAATCATCATCGAATAGAATTGAATGGAATCATAGAATGGACTCGAATGGAATCATAATAAAATGAAATTGCATTGAATCTTCGAATGCACTTGAATGGAGTCATCATCGAATGGAACCAAAAGGAATCATTGAATGGACTCGAATGCAATAATCATCGAAAGGAATGGAAAGGAATAATCAAATGAAATCAATGGAATCATCTTCAAATGGAATCAGATGGAATCATCGAATGGACTTGAATGGGATCATTGAATGGACTCGAATGCAATCCTCATCGAATGGAATTGAATGGAATCATCGAATGGTCTCGAATGGAATCATCATCGAATGGAATCAAATGGAATCATTGAATGGAATTGAATGGAAACATCGAATGGACTCGAATGGAATCATCTTCAAATGAAATTGCATTGAATCTTCGAGTGGAATCGAATGGAGTCATCATTGAATGGAATAGAATGGAATCATTGAATGGACTCGAATGGAATAATCAACGAATGGAATGGAAAGGAATCATCAAAATAAATCAATGGAATCATCATCGAATGAAATCAAATGGAATAGTCAAATGGCACCGAATGGAATCATCATCGAAAGGAATCAAATGGAATCATCTAACGGAATCGAGTGGAATAATCATTGAATGAAATCGAATGGAAACATTGAATGGACATAAATGGAATCATCACTGAATAGAATCGAATGGAATCATCATCAAATGGAATTGAATAGAATCGTCATCGAATGGAATCGAATGGAATCATCAAACAGAATAGAATGGAATCATCATCGAATGGAATCAAATAGGATCATTGAATGAAATAAAATGGAATCATCATCGAATGGAATTGAATGGCATCATCATCGAATGGAATCGAATGGAATCATCATCGAATGTAATTGAATGGAATCATCATTGAAAGGAATCAAATGAATTCATCATCAAATGGAACCGAACAAAGTCATCACCGAATGGAATTGAAATGAATCATAATCGAATGGAATCAAATGGCATCTTCGAATTGACTCGAATGCAATCATCCACTGGGCTTCAAAGGAGTCATCATGGAATGGAATCAAATGTAATCATCGAATGGACTCGAATGGAATCATCATCAAATGGAATCAGATGGAATCATTGAATGGACGTGAATGGAATCATCGAATGGACATGAATGGAATCATCATTGAATGGAATTGAATGGAATCATTGAATGGTCTCGAATGGAATCATCATCGAATGGAATCGAATGGAATCATTGAATGGAATCGAATGGAATCATCGAATGGACTCGAATGGAATCATCATTGAATGGAATCAGTGAATGGTTTTGAATGGAATCATCATCGAATGGAATTGAATAAAATCGGCATTGAATAGAATCGAATGGAATCATCAACGAATGGAATCGAATGGAATTTTCATCAAATGGAATCGAATGGAATCATCATCGAATAAAATCGAATGGGATCATCGAATGAAATAGAATGGAATCATCATCAAAAAGAATCAAAGTAAAACAAAGAATGGAATATAACAGACTCATTGAAGGGAATCAAATGGAATAATCATTGAAAGGACTCAAATATAGTTATCATCGAATGGAGTTGAATGGAATCATTTAATGGACTCGACTGGAATCGTTGAATGGACTAGAATGGAATCATCGAATGGAATCAAATGAAATCATGGAATGCACGTGAATGGAATCACTGAATGGACTCAAATGGAATCAACTTCGAGTGGAATCGAAAGGAAACATCGAATGGACTCGAATGGAATCATCATCTAATGGAATCGAATGGAATCATCAGCGAATGGAATCGAAAGGAATCATCATGGAATAGAATCGAATGGAAACATCGAATGGAATGGAATGGAATCATCATGGAAAGGAATCGAAGGGAATCATCAAATGGAATCAACGGAATCATCGAATGGAATTGAAAGGAATCATAATCGAAAGGACTCGAATGGAATTATCATTGAAAGGAATCGAATGGAATCATCAAATGGACTCGAATGGAATAATCAAATGAACTTCAATGGAATCATCAAATGGACTCGAATGGAATCATCAAATGGACTCGAATGGAATCATCATCAAATGAAATTGGATGGATTCGATGAATGGACTCGAATGGAATCATTGAATGGACTCGAATGGAATCATCATTGAATTGAATCGAATGGAATCATTGGGTGGAATCGAATGGAATCATCATCGAATGGAATCGAATGGGATTATCATCAAATGGAATCGAATGGGATCATCATCAAAGGTAATCCAATGGAATCACCGAATGGTCTCGAATGTAATGATCAAATGGACTCGAATGGAATCACCAAATGGAATCGAATGGAATCATCGAAAGGACTCAAATGGAATTAATGAATGGACTTGAAGGGAGTCATCAAATGAACTCTAATGGAATCATCATCAAATGGAATGGAATGGAATCATCAAATGGACACGAATGGAATCATTGAATGGACTCGAATGAAATCATCGAATGGACTCGAATGGAATCATCATCGAATGGAATTGAATGGAATCCTCGAATAGAATCAAATGCAATCATCAAATGGAATCGAACAGAATCATCATCGAATGGAATCAAATGGAATCATCGAATGGAATCGAATGCAGTCATCGTCTAGTGGAATCAAATGGAGTTATCATCAAATAGAATTGAATGGAATCATCGAATGGAGTCGAATGGAATCATTTTTGAATGTCATTGAATGGAATCATCGAATGGAATCATATGGAATCATCGAATGGAATTGAAAGGATCAGCATCGAATGAAATCAAATGGAATCATCAACTAATAGAATCGAATGGAATCATTGAATGGAAACATCATCAAATGGAGTCAAATGGAATCATCAAATGGTCTCGAATGGAATCATCATAGAATGGAATTGAAAGGAATCATCGAATGGAATCGAATGGAATCATCAGAGAATGGAATTTAAAGGAATCACCATCGAAAGGAATTGAATAGAATAATCATTGAATGGAATCATCATCGATTGGAATCAAATGGAATCATCAACAAATGGAAAAGAATGGAATCATCAACTAATAGAATCAAATGGAGAAATCGAATGGAATCCGTTGGAATCATCATCAGATGGAACCAAATGCAGTCATCATCGAATGGAATCGAATGGAATCATCAAATGGATTAGAATGGAATCATCATCGAATGGAATTGAATGGAATCATTGAATAGCATCGAATGGAATCATCGAATGAACTCGAATGGAATCATTATCAAATTGAATCAAATAGAATCAACATCAAATGGAATTGAACGGAATGATCGAATTGAATTGAATAGAGTCATCATAGAATGAACTCACATGGAATCATCGAATGGACTCGAATAGAATCATCATCAAATGGAATCGAATGGAATCATCTAATAGACTCGAATGGAATCATCATCGAATGGAATCAAATGGAATCACCGAATGCACTCGAATGGAATCATCACAGAATGGAGTCGAAAGGAATCATACAACAGACTTTAATTGAATCATTGAAAGTAATCGAATGGAATCATATTCGAATGGAATCGAATGGAATCATCGAATGGACATGAATGGAATAACCATCGAATGGAATCGAATGGAATCATCATTGAATGGAATCAAATGGAATCGTCATTGAACAGAATCGAATGGAATCATCATCGAATGGAATCAAATGGAATGGTTATTGAATGGAATCGAATGGAATCATCATCGAATGGAAACTAGTGCAATCATCATCTAATGGAAACGAATGGAATCATCAACGAATGGAATCAAATGGAAAAATCGAATGGGATCCGTTGGAATCATCATCAAATGGAACCGAATGCAGTCATCATAAAATGGAATCAATTGGAATCCTCAAATGGATTAACATGGAATCTACACCGAATGGAATTAAATGGAATAATCGAACAGACTTGATTGAAGTCATCATCAAATGGAAACGAATGGAATCATTAAATGGACACGAATGGAATCATCGTGGAATGGAATCGAATGGAATCATCGAATGGCATTGAATGGATTCATCATTGAATGGAATCTACTGAAATCATAGAATGGACACGAATGGAATCACCCAATGGAATTGAGTGGAATCATCATCGAATGGAATCGAATGGAATCATCAAATAGACTCGAATGCAATCATCATCGAATGGAATCAAATGAAATCATAATCGAATGGAATGGAAAGGAATCATCAGCTAATGGAGTCGAATGGAATCATTGTTGAGTTGAATAGAATAGAATGGAGTCACCATATTGAATCAAATGGAAAGATCATCGAATGGAATCGAAGGGAATCATCGAATGAGATTGAACGGAGTCATCGAATGGAATCGAGTGGAATCATCGAATGGATTCGAATGGAATCATCATCGAATGGAATTGAATGGAATCATCATTGAATGGAACCGAATAGAATCATCATCGAATGGAACCAAAAGGAGTCATCATCGAATTGAATTGCATGGAATCATCATCAAATGGAATTGAATGGAATCATCAAATGGAATTGAATGGAATCATCATCGAATGAATTGAATGGAATCATGGAATGGTCTCGAATGGAATCATTATCAAATGGAATCGAATGGAATCACCGAATAGAATCGAATGGAATAATCATCGAATGGACTCAAATGGAATTATCATCAAATGGAATTGAATGGAATTATCAAATGGAATTGAATAGAATCATCGTATGGACTCGAATGGAATCATCGAATGGAATGGAATGGAATAATCAATGAACTCGAATGGAATCATCATTGAATGGAATCAAATGGAATCATTGAGTGGAATTGAATGGAATCATGATCAAATGGAATCGAATGGAATCATCATTGAATGGAATCGAAAAGAATCATCATCAATTGGAATTGAATGGAATTGTCATCAAATGGAATCCAAAGGAATCATCATCAAATGGAACCGAATGGAATCATCATTGAATGGAAACGAAAGGAGTCATCATCGAATGGAATCGCATGGAATCATCATCGAATGGAATCGAATGAAATCATCATCAAATGGAATCTAATGGAATCATCGAATGGAATTGAATGGAATCGCCATCAAATGAATTGAATGGAATCATCAAATGGTCTCGAATGGAATCATCTTCAAATGGAATCGGATGGAATCATCGCATAGAATCGAACGTAATTGTCATTGAATGGACTCAAATGGAATCAACATCAAACAGAATCAAACGGAATTATCGAATGGAATTGAAGAGAATCATCGAATGGACTTGAATGGAATCATCGAATGGAATGGAATGGAATAATCCATGGACTTGAATGCAATCATCATTGAATGGAATCGAATGGAATCATCGAATGGACTCAAATGGAATAATCATCGAATGGAATAGAATAGAATCATCGAATGAAATCGAATGGAATCATCATCTAATGGAATCGAATGGAATCTCCAACGAATGGAATCCAATGTAATCATCATCGAATTGAAACCAATGGATTCATTAAATGTACTCGAATGGAATCATCAAATGGACTCGAATGGACTCATCATCAAATGAAATAGAATGCAATCATCAAATGGAATCGAATGGAATCATCATTGAATGAAATCAAAGGCAATGATCGAATGGACCCAAATGGAATCATCATCGAATGGAATCGAATGGAATCATCGAATGGACTCGAATGGAATCATCATCAAATGGAATAGAAAGGAAACATCGAATGGACTTGAATGGAATCATTGAATGGACTCGAATGGAATCATCATGGAATGGAATCGAATGGAATCATCGAATGAAATCGAGTGGAATCATCATCGAATGGAGTCAAATGGAATCATCATTGAATGGAATCAAAAGGAATCATCATTGAATGGAATTGAATGGAATTATCATCTAATGGAATTGAAGGGAATCATCAACAAATTCAATCAAATCTAGAAATCGAATGGAATCCGTTGGAATCATCATCAAATTGAACCAAATGCAGTCATCATCAAATGCAATCGAATGGAATCATCATCGAATGGAATTGAAAGGAATCGTCATCGAATCAAATAGAATGGTATCATCGAATGGAATAGAATGGAATCATCATCGAAAGAAATCAAAGGGAATCATCAAATGGAATCGAACGGAATCATCTAATGGAATCAAATGTAATAATCATTGAATGGAATCGAATGGAATCATCGAATAGACTCGAATGGAATAATCGAATGGACTCGAATGGAATCATCAAATGGAATCAAATGGAATAATCGATTGGACTCGAATGGAAACATCATCAAATTGTATCGGATGGAATCAATGAAGGGACTAGAACTGAATCATCGAATGGACACGAATGGAATCATCATTGATTGGACAGGAATGGAATCATTGAATGGAATCGAAAGGAATCATCATGGAATGGAATCGAATGGAATCATGACCGTATGGAATTGAAAGGAATCATCATGGAATGGAATCGAATGGAATCATGATCGTATGGAATTGAAAGGAATCATCATGGAATGGAATTGAATGGAATCATGACCGTATGGAATCGAATGGAATCATCATCGAATGGAATTGAATGGAATCGAATGGAATCATCAATGAATGGAGTCGAATGGAGTCATCGAATGGAGTCCTTTGGAATCATCATCGAATGGAACTGAATGCAGTCAGCATCGAATGGAATCAAATGGTATCGTCAAATGGACTCGATGGAATTATCATCACAAGGAATCAAATGGTATCATCTAATCAACTCGAATGGAGTCATCTTTTAGTGGAATCGAATGGAATCATCGAATGCACTAGAATGGAATCATCATTGAATGGAAACGAAAGGAATCATCAAAAGGACTTGAATGGAATCATTGAATGTACTCGAATGGAATCAAATGGAATCATTGAATGGACCCTAATAGAATCACCATTGAATGGAATCGAATTGAATCATCGAATGGAATCGAATGGAATCATTATTGAATGGAATTGAATGGAATCGTCATTGAATGGAATTGAATGGAATCATCATTGAATGGAATCTAATAGAATCATCATTTAATGGAAACGAATGGAATCATCAATGAATGGAATCAAATGGAGAAATCGAATGGAATCCGTTGGAATCATCATCAGATGGAATTGAATGCAGTCATCATCGAATGGAATTGAAAGGAATCATAATTGTAAGGAATTGAATTAAATCATAGTCGCATGGAATCAAAAGGAATCATCATCGAATGGAGTCGAATGGAATCATAATTTAATAGAATCGAATGGAATACTGAATTGAATCAAATGGAATGATCATCGAATGGAATCGAAGGGATTCATCAAATAGGATCGAATGGAGTCATCGAATGGAATCACGTCGAATCATTGAATGGATTCGAATGGAATCATCATCGATTGGAATCGAATGGAAACACCATCAAATTGAATCAAAGGGAATCATCACGGAATTGAAATGAATAGACTCATCATCGAATGGATTCAAAGGGAATCATCTATTGGAATTGATTGGAATCATCATCGAATGGAATGGAATGGAATCATTGAATGGAATCGAATGAAATCATCACTGAATGGAATTGAATTGAATCATCGAATGGACTCTAATGGAATCATCATCGAATGGAATCAGATGGAATCATCAAATGGACTTGAATGGAGTCATCAAATGGACTCGAATAGAATCATTATTGAATGGAAATGAATGGAATCATCGAAAGGTCTCGAATGGAATCATAATCGAATGGAATAGAATGGAATCATCGAATGGAATCGAATGGAATAATCATCAAAAGGAATCAAATAGAATCGGCATCAAATAGAATCGAAGGCAGTCATCATCGAATGGAATCGAATGGAATTTTCATCAAATGGGATCGAATGGAATCATCATGGATTAGAATCAGATGGGATCATCGAATGAAAGAGAAAGGATCATCATCAAAAATAATCAAAATAAAACAAAGAATAGAATCCAACGGAATCATTGAATGGAATCAAATGGAATCATCACTGAATGGATTTGAATGGAGTGATTATCGAATGGAATCGAATGGAATCATTTAATGGACTCAAAAGGAATCATTGGACTCGAAAGGGATCATCGAATGGAATCGAATGGAATCATCATCAAATGAAATAAAATGGAATGATCGAATGGACTCGAATGGAATCATCATCAAATGGAATCGAATGAAATCATGGAATGCACTCGAATGGAATCATCGAATGGACTCCAATGGAATCAATATCGAGTGTAATTGAAAGGAAACATCGAATGGAATTGAATGGAATCATTGAATGGAATCATCGAATGGAATAATCATCAAATGGAATCGACTGGAATCATCGAATGGACCCGAATGGAATCAAAAGGAATCATCAAATGGAATCATCATTGAATGAAATCGAATGGAATAATGATGGAATAATGATGGAATGGAGTCGAATGGAATCATCATCGAATGGAATTGAATGGAAACATCATCGAATGGAATCGAATGGAATCATCAATGAATAGAATGGAATGGAAACATCATCAAATGGAATCGAATGGAATCATCAATGAAAGGAATCAATTGGAGTCATCGAATGGAGTCTGTTGGAATCATCATCGAAAGGAATCAAATGCAGTCATCTTCAAATGAAATCAAATGGAATCATCAAATGGACTCGATGGAATCATCATCACATGGAATCGAATGGAATCATCCAATGGACTCGAATGCAATCATCAAATGGAACTGAATGCAGTCATCATCGAATGGAATCATCAAATGGATTAGAATGGAATCATCATCGAATGGAATTGAATGGAATCATCGAATGGACTCGAATGGAATGACCATCAAATGGAATTGAATATAGTCATAATCAAATGGAATCAAATGGAATCATCATCCATAGGATTCTATTGGAACAATCATTGAATAGAATCGAATGGAATCACCGAATTGAATCAAATGGAAGGATCATGAAATGGAATCAAAGGGAATCATCAAATGGGATCGAACGGAGTCATCGAAAGGAATCGAGTGGAATCATCGAAAGGATTCGAATGGAATCATCATCAAATGGAATTGAATGGAATCATCGAATGGAAACGAATGCAATCATCATTGAATGGACTCGAATGGATTCATCAAATGGAGTCGAGTGTAATCATCATTGAATAGAATTGAATGGAATTATCAAATAGCATCGAATGGAATCGTCAAATGGAGTCGAATGGAATCATCGAATGGACTCGAATGGAATCATCATT
>NT_187393.1:79125-86691 GCF_000001405.40 Homo sapiens
GAATGGAACCGAATGCAGTCATCATCAAATGGAATCAAATGGAATCATCGAATGGACTCATTGGAATCATCATTGCATGGAATCTAATGGAATCATTGAATGGGCTGGAATGCAATCATCGAATGGACTCAAAAGTAATCATCATCAAATGGAATCGAAAGGAATCATTGAATTGAATTGAATGGAATTATCATAGAGTGGAATTGAATAGAATCATCGAATGGACTCGAATGGAATCATCATCGAATGGAATCGAATGGAAACATCTAATGGCATTGCATGGAAGTATCATCGAATGGAATTGAATGGAATCATCGAATGGCCTGGAATGGAATCATCATCGATTGGAATCGAATGAAATCATTGAATGGAATCGAATGGAATGATCATCGAATGGTATTGAATGGAATCCTCGAATGTAATCAAATGGAATCATCAAATGGAATTGAACAGAATCATCACTGAATGGAACCAAATGGAATCATCAAATGGAATCGAATGCAATCATCATTGAATGGAATAAAAGGGAATTATCGAATGGAATCGAAGGGAATCATTGTCAAGTGGAATCAAGTGGAATCATCGAATGGAATTGAATGGAATCATTGTCGAATGGCACGGAATGGAATCAATGAATGTAATTGAATGGAATCACCAATGAATTGAATGAAATGGAATCATCATCTAATAGAATCAAATGGAATGAACGAATGCACTCAAATGGAATCATTATCGAATGGAATCGCGTGAAATCATCTAATGGGCAAGAATAGAATCATCATGGAATGGAATTGAATGGAATCATCTAATGTACTCGAATGGGATCATCATTGAATGGAATAGAATTGAATCATCGAATGGAATCAAAAGGAATCTACATCATATGGAATCAAGTGGAATCATCGAATGGACTCGAATGTAATCATCTGAGAATGAAATCGAATGGAAACTTCCAGTGGGCTCGAATGGAATCATCATCGTATGAAATCAAATGGAATCATCGAATGGACTCGAATAGAGACATCATTGAATGAAATCGAATTTATTCATTGAAAGGAATCAAATGGAATCATCATCTAATGGAATCATCTAAAGGACTGGAATGGAATCATCTTTGAATGGAATCGAATGGAATCATTGAATGGACTTGAATAGAAGCATCATCGAATGGAATCGAATGGAATCATTGAATAAAATCGAATGGAATCTTCATCGAATGGACTCGAATGGAATAATCATGGAATGGAATCAAAAGGAATCATCCTCGAATGGACTCAAATGAAATCATTGAATGGACTCAAATGGAATCATCGAATGGAATTGAATGGAATCTTTGAATGGCTCCGAATGGAAACATCATCGAATGGAATCGAATGAAATAATCATGGAATGGAATCAAAAGGAATCACCCTCGAATGGACTCAAATGAAATCATCGAATGGACTCGAATGGAATCATCGAATGGAATTGAATGGAATCTTCGAATGGCCCTGAATGGAATCATCATCGAATGGAATTGAATGGAATCATTGAACGGACTCGAATGGAATCATGATCGAATGGAATAAAATGGAATCATCTAGTGGAATCGAATAGAATCATAATTGAATGAAAACGAATGGAATCATTGAGTGACATCGAATGGAATCATCATCGAATGGAATTGAATCGAATCATCGAATAGACTCGAATGCAATCATCAGCGAATGGAATTGAATGGAATCACTGAATGGGCTCGAATGGAATCATCATCAAATGGAATCGAATGGAATCATCATCAAATGGAATCCAATAGAATCATCGAATGGAATCAAATAGGATCATCGAATGAAATCTTATGGAATCATCTTCGAATGGAATTGAATGGAATCATCATCGAATGGAATCATCATCGAATGGAATTTAATGGAATCATCATTGAATGGTATCGAATGGAATCATCAACGAATGGAATCGAATGGAATCATCAAATGGAATCAAATGGAATCATCGTCAAATGGAAACAAATGGAATCATCATCAAATGGAACCTAATGGAGTCATCATCGAATGGAATCGAAATGAATCATCATCGAATGGAATCATCATCGAATGTACATGAATGGAATCATCATCGAGTGGAATCTTCGAATGGTCTCGAATGGAATCAACATCGAATGGAATCGAATGGAATAATCGAATAGAAACATCATCGAATGAAATCGAATGGAATCATCAAAAGGAATCGAATGGAATCCTTGTCAAATAGAATCACCGAATGGAATGGAATGGAATCATCATCGAAGGTAATCAAATGTAATCATTGAATGAAATCGAATGGAATCATCATCGAATGGAATCGAATTGAATCGTTGAATGAAATCGAAAGGAATCATCATCGAATGGAATCGAATAGAATCATCAAATGGAATCGAATGGAATCATCATCGAATGGTATCAAATGGAATCATAGAATGGTTTTGAATGGAATCATCATAAAATGGAATCGAATGGAATCACCATCGAATGGAATCAGAAGCAATCATCAAATGGATTTGAATAGAATCATTGAATGGACACGAATGGAATTATCATTGAATGGAATCTGATCAAATCAACATATGGAATTGAACGGAATCATAATGAAATGAGTCACATGGAATCATCTAATGGACTGTTCCATTAGAAGACATTCGAGTCTGTCTAGTTTTTATATGAAGATATTAACTTTTCCACCACATGCATTATATTGCTCCAAATGTCCACTTGCAGATTCTCCAAAAAGAGAGTTTCAGTTCTGATCTATCAAAAGAAAGGTTTACCTCTTTGAGATGAATGCACACATCACAGAGAAATTTCTCAGATTGCTTCTGTCTACAATTTATGTGAAGATATTTCCTGTTCTAACATAGGCCGCTGAGCGCTCCAAATGTCCACTTGCAGATTCTACCAAAAGAGTGTTTCCAAACTGCTCATTCAAAGAAATGTTCAACTTTCTAGATGAATGCACACATCATAAAGAACTTTCTCAGAATTCTTCTTTCTACTTTTTATGTGAAGATATTTCCTTTTGTACCGTAGACCCGAAGGCACTCTAAAGGTCCACTTGCAGATTCTACAAAAAGAGTATTTCAAAACTGATCCTTCAAAGGAATGTTCAACTCTAGGGGTTGAATGCATACATCACAAAGTAGTTTTTCAGAATGCTTCTATGTAATTTTTATGTGATGATATTTCATTTTTCACCATAGGCCTGAACACCCTTCAAATGTCCACTTAGAGATTATACAAAAAGGGAGCTTTAAAACTCCTCTATCAAAATAAAGGTTTCAATCCGTTAGATGAATGCACACATCACAAACATGTTTCTAAAAATGCTTCTATTTTTTCTGTGAAGATATTTCCTTTTCCACCGTAGACCTCAAAGCGCTCTAAATGTCCACTTGTAGATTCTACAAAAAGAGAGCTTCAAAACTGCTCAATCAAAATAAAGTTTTAACTCTGTGAGATGAATGCACACATCAAAAAGAAGTTTCTCAGATTGCTTCTGTCTAGATTTTTTGTGAAGATATTTCTTTTTCTAACATAGGCCACAAAGCGCTCTTAATGTCCACCTGCAGATTCTACAAAAAGAGTGTCTTCAAACTGCTCAATCAAAAGAAAGTTTCAACTCTGTGAGAGTAATGCACACATCACGAAGGAGTATATGAGAATTCCTCTGTCTAGTTTTTATGTGAAGATATATTCTATTCTACCATAGGCCTCAAAGCACTACAAATGTCCACTTGCAGATTCTACGAAAAGAGAGTTTCAAGACTGCTCAATCAAAAGAAAGGTTTAACTCTGTGAGATGAATGCACACATGATAAAGAAGGTTTTCAGATTACTTCTGTCTACACCTTATGTGAAGATATTTCCTTTTCCACCATAGGCTGCAAAGAGCTCCAAATGTCCACTTAAAGATTCTTCAAAAAGAGTGTTTCCAAACTGCTCCATCAAAAGAAATGTTCAACTTTGTGAGCTGAACTCACACATCACAAAGAAGTTTGTCAGAATTCTTCTGTCTAGTTTTTATGTGAAGATAATTCCTTTTCCACCATAGGCCTCAAAGCATTCAAAATGTCCACTTGCAGATTCTACAAAAAGAGAGTTTCCAAAGTGCTCAGTCTAAAGAAAGGTTTACTCTGTGAGATGAATGCACATGGCACAAAGAAGTTTGTCAGATTGCTTTTATCTAGATTTTATGTGAAGATATTTTCTTTTCTACTATAGGCCACAAAGCGCTCCAAATGTCCAGTTGCAAATTCTACAAAAAGAGTGTTTACAAACTGCTCAATCAAAAGTAAGGTTCAACTCTGTGATATGAACGCACACATCACAAAGTAGTTTCTCAGAATTCTGCTGTCTAGTTTTTATGTGAAGATATTTCCTTTTCCATCATAGGCCTCAAAGTGCTCCAAATGTCCACTTGCAGATTTTACAATAAGAGAGTTTCAAGACAGCTCAATCAAAAGAAAGTTTTAACTCTGTGAGATGAATGCACACATCACAAAGAAGTTTCTCAGATTGATTCTATCTAGATTTTATGGGAATATATCTCTTTTCTAACATAGGCTGCAAAGCGCTCCAAATGTCCACTTGCAGATTCCACAAAAAGAGTGTTTCCAAACTGCTTAATCAAAAGAAAGGTTCAACTCTGTGAGATAAATGCGTGCATCACAAAGAAGCTTCTCCAAATTCTTCTGTGTAGTTTTGATGTGAAAATATTTCCTTTTCCTCCACAGGCCTCAAAGCGCTCCAAATGTTAACTTCCAGATTCTACAAAAAGAGAGATTCAAAACTGCTCAATCAAAACAAAGGCTTAACTCTGTGAGATCAATGCACACATCACAAAGAAGTTTCTAAGAATGCTTCTGTCGAGTTTTTATGTGAAGATATTTCCTTTTCCACCATAAGCCTCAAAGTGCTCCAAATGTCCACTTCCAAATTCAACAAAAAGAGAGTTTCAAAACTGCTCAATCAAAAATAAGAGTTAATCCTGTGAGATGAATGCACACATCCCAAAGAAGTTTCTCAGTTTGCTTCTGTCTAGATTTTATATGAAGATATTTCCTTTTCTAACATAGGCTGCAAAGTGCTTCAAAAGTCCACTTACAGAATCTACAAAATGAGTGCTTCCATAATTCTTAATCAAAAGAAAGGTTAAATTCTGTGAGATGAATGCACACATCACAAAGAAGTTTCTCAGAATTTTTCTCTCTAGTTTTTATGTGAAGATATTTCCTTTTCCACCATAGGCCTCAAAGCACTCCAAATGTCCACTTGCAGATTCTACAAAAAAAGAGTTTCAAAACTCCTCAATCAAAAGAATGGTTTAACTCTGTGAGATAAATGGACACATCACAAAGAGGTTTCTCACATTGGTTCTGTCTAGATTTTATGTGAAGATATTTCCTTTTATAACATAGACCACAAAGCGCTCCTAATGTCCACTTGCAGATTCTACAAAAAGAGTGTCTGCAAACTGCTCAATCAAAAGGAAGTTTCAACTCTGTGAGAAGAATGCACACATCACAAAGAAGTTTCTCAGAACTCTTCTGTCTAGTTTTTATGTGAAGATATTTCCTTTCCCACTGTAGGCCTCAAAGCACTCAAAATGTCCACTTGCAGATTCTACAAAAAGAGAGCTTCAAAACGACTCAGCCAAAAGAAAGGTTTAACTCTGTGAGATGAATGCACACATCACAAAGAAGTTTCTGAGATTGCTTCTGTCTAGATTTTATGTGAAGATATTTCCTTTTCTACCATAGGCAACAAAGCACTCCAATAGTCTACTTGCAGATTCTACAAAAAGAATGTTTCTAAACTGCTCAATCAAAAGGAAGATTCAACTTTGTGAGATAAATGCATACATCACAAAGGAGATTCTCAGAATTCTTCTGTCAAGTTTTTATGTGAAGATACTTCCTTTTCCACCATAGGCCTCAAAACGATCTAAATGTCCACTTGCAAATACTTCAAAAACAGAGTTTCAAAACTGCTCAGTCAAAAGAAATTTTGAACTCTGTGAGATGAATGCACACATGCCAAAGAAGTTTCTCAGATTCCTTCTGTCTAGATTTTTTGTGAAGATATTACCTTTTCTACCACAGTCCACATAGCGCTGCAAATGTCCACTTGCAGAATCTACATAAAAGAGTGTTTCAAAACTTCTCAATCAAAAGAAAGTTTCAACTCTTTGAAATGAAGGCACACATCACAAAGAAGATTCTAAGAATACTTCTGTCTATTTTTTTATGTGAAGATATTTCGTTTTCCACTAGATGCCCAAAAGCGCTACAAATGTTCACTAGCAGATACTACAAAAAGAGTGTTTCAAAACTTCTCAATCAAAAGAAAGGTTCAACTCTGCGACTTGAACGTACACATCACAAAGAAGTTTCTGAGAATGCTGCTGTCTAGATTTTATGTGAAGATATTCCCGTTTCCAAGGAGGGCCTGAAGGCGTGCCAAATATCCACTGGCAGATTCTACTAAAGGAGTGTTTCAAAACGACTCTATGATGAGGTATGTTCCACTCTGTGAGTTGAAGGCAAACATCAAAAAGAAGTTTCTGAGAATGCTTCTCTCTAGTTTTGATGGGAAGATATTTCCTTTTCCACTATAGGCCTCAAAGTGTTCCAAGTGTCCACTTGCAGATTCTACAAAAAGAGTGTTTGAAAAATGCTCTATCAAAAGAAAGTTTCAACTCTGTGAGGTGAATGCACACATTACAAACAAGTTTCTGAGAATGCTTCTGTCTAGTTTTTATGTGAAGATATTCCCATTTCCAACGAAGGCTTCAAAGCCGTCCAAATATCCACTAACATATTCTACAAAAAGAGTGTTTCAAAAATGATCCATGAAAATGAATGTTCAACTCTGTGAGTAGAATGCAAACATCACAAAGAAGTTTCGGAGAATGCTTCTGCCTAGTTTTTATATGAAGATATTCCTTTCCCACCATAGGCCACAGAGCGCTCCAAATGTCCACTTACAGATTCCAAAAAAAGAGTGTTTCAAACCTGCTCTATCAAAAGAAAGGTTCAACTCTGTGAGGTGAATGCAAACATCACAAAGAAGTTTCTGAGAATGCCTCTGTCTAGATTTTATGTGAAGATATTTCCTTTTCTAACATAGGCTGCAAAGCGCTTCAAATGTCCACTTGCAGAATCTACAAAAAGAGTTTTTCCATAATTCTCAATCAAAAGAAAGTTCAACTCTGTGAGATGAATGCACACATCAAAAGAAGTTTCTCAGAATTCTTCTCTCTTATTTTTATGTGAAGATATTTCCTTTTCCACCATAGGCCTAAAAGCACTCCAAATGTCCACTTGCAGATTCTACAAAAAAAGAGTTTCAAAACTGCTCAATTAAAAGAAAGGTTTAACTCTGTGAGATGAATGCACACATCACAAAGAGGTTTCTCACATTGGTTCTGTCTAGATTTTATGTGAAGATATTTCCTTTTATAACATAGGTCTCAAAGCGCTCCTAATACCCACTTGCAGATTCTACAAAAACAGTGTCTGTAAACTGCTCAATCAAA
>NT_187393.1:86716-87785 GCF_000001405.40 Homo sapiens
TGAGAAGAATGCACACATCACAAAGAAGTTTCTCAGAATTCTTCTGTCTAGTTTTTATGTGAACATATTTCCTTTCCCACCATAGACTTCAAAGTGCTCCAAATGTCCACTTGCAGATTCTACAAAAAGAGTGTTTCAAACCTGCTCTATTAAAAGAAAGGTTCAACTCAGTGAGTTGAATGCACACAGCACAAAGAAGTTTCTGAGAAATCTTCCATCTAGTGATTATGTGAAGATATTCACGTTTCCAACAAAGGCCTCTAATCGGTCCAATTAAACACGTGCAGATTCTACTAAAAGAATGTTTCAAAACTGCTCTATGATAAGGTTTTTTTCAACTCTGTGAGTTGAAGGCAAACATCACAAAGAAGTTTCTGAGAGTGCTACTGTCTAGTTTTCATGGGAAGATATTTTCTTTTCCACTATAGGCATCAAAGCGCTCAAATGTCCACTTGCAGAGTCTACAAAAAGACTGTTTTAAACCTGTTCTGTCAAAAGAAAGTTTCAACTCTGTGAGTTGAATGCACACAGCACAAAGAAGTTTCTGAGAAAGCTTCTGTCTAGTGTTTATGTGAAGATATTCCCGTTTCCAACGAATGCCTCAAAGCGGTCCAAATATCCACTTGCAGATTCTACTAAAAGAGTGACTCAAAACTGCTCTATGGTAAAGTATTTTCAACTCTGTGAGTTGAATGCAAACATCACAAAGACGTTTCTGAGAATGCTTCTGTCTAATTCTTATGTGAAGATATTTCCTTTTCCAATATAGGCCACAAAGCGTTCCAAATGTCCACTTGCAGATTCTGCAAAAAGAGTGTTTCAAACCTGCTCTATCAAAAGAAAGGTTCAACTCTGTGAGTTGAATGCACACATCACAAAGAAGTTTCTGATAATGCTTCTGTCTAGTTTTTCTGTGAAGATATTTCCTTTTACACCATAGGCCTGAAAGCTCTCCAAATGTCCCCTTGCAGATTATACAAAAAGAATGTTTCAAAACAGCTCTATCAAAAGAAAGTTTCAACTCTGTGAGTTGAAGGCACACATCACAAAGAAGTTTCTGAGAATGCTT
>NT_187393.1:87861-91552 GCF_000001405.40 Homo sapiens
TGTGAGGATATTTCCTTTTCCACAGTAGGCATCAAAGCTCTCCAAATGTCCAGTTGCAGATTCTACAAAAAGAGTGTTTCAAAACCGATCTATCAAAAGAAAGGGTCAACTCTGTGAGTTGAATGCACACATCACAAAGAAGTTTCTGAGAATAATTCTGTCTAGTGTTTATGTGATGATATTCCAGCTTCCAATGAAGTCCTCGAAGCACTTCAAATATCCACTTGCAGATTCTACGAAAAGAGTGTTTCAAAACTGCTCTATCAAAAAAAGGTTCAACTCTGTCAGTTGAATGTAAACATCACAAAGAAACTTCTGAGAATGCTTCTGTCTAGTTTTTATGTGAAGATATTTCCTTTCCCACCTTAGGCCTCAAAGCTCTCCAAATTTCCACTTGAAGATTCTACAAAATGATGGTTTCAAAACTGCTCTATGATAAGGTATGTTCAACTCTGTCAGTTGAAGGCAAACATCACAAAGGTGTTTCTGAGAATTCTTCTCTCTAGTTTTTATGGGAAGATATTTCCTTTTCCACCACAGGCCTCAAAGCTTTCCAAAAGTCCACTTGCAGATTCTACAAAAAGAGTTTTTCAAACCTGCTCTATCAAAAGAAAGGTTCAACTCTGTGAGTTGAATGCACACATCACGTAGAAGTTTCTGAGAATGTTTCTGTCTGGTTTTCATGTGAAGATATTTCCTTTTCCACCATAAGCCTCAAAGTTCAGAAATGTCTACTTGCAAATTCTACAAAAAGAGTGTTTCAAAACTTCCCTATCAAAAGAAATGTTCAACTCTGTGAGTTGAATGCACACATCAAAAAGAAGTTTCTGAGAATGTTTCTGTCTAGTTTTATATGAAGATATTCCCATTTCCAACGAATGCCTCAAAGCAGTCCAAATATCCACTAGCAGATTCTACAAAAAGAGCATTTCAAAACTGCTCTATGACAAATTATGTTCAACTCTGTAAGTAGTTGAATGCAAACATCACAAAGAAGTTTCTGAGAATGCTTCTGTCCAGTGTTTATGTGAAGATATTCCCGTTTCAAACGAAGACCTCAAAGCAGTACAAATATCCACTTGCAGATACTAAAAAAAGAGTGTTTCAAACCTGCTCTATCAAAAGAAAGTTTCAACTCTGTTAGTTGAATGTACACATCACAAAAAATTTCTTAGAATCCTGCTGTCTAGTTTTTATGTGAAGATATTCCCGTTTCCAGTGAAGGCCTCTAAGCGGTCCAAATATCCACTTGCAGATTCTTCTAAAAGAGTTTTTTGGAGGGAGGACCCAAGATGGCCGAATAGGAACAGCTCTGGTCTACAGCTCCCAGCCTGAGTGACGCAGAAAATGGGTGACTTCTGCATTTCCATCTGAGGTACCAGGTTCACCTCACTAGGGAGTGCCAGACAGTGGGCGCAGGTCAGTGGGTGCGCTCACCATGCACGAGCTGAAGCAGGGCGAGGCATTGCCTCACTTGGGAAGTGCAAGGGGTCAGGGAGTGTCCTTTCTGAGTCAAAGAAAGGGGTGATGGATGCACCTGGAAAATCGGGTCACTCCCACCCAAATATTGCACTTTTCGGACTGGCTTAAAAAATGGCGCACCACGAGATTATATCCCGCACCTGGCTCGGAGGGTCCTATGCCCATGGAGTCTCGCTGATTGCTAGCACAGCAGTCTGAGATCAAACTGCAAGGCAGCAGTGAGGCTGGGGGAGGGGCACCCCCCATTGCCCAGGCTTGCTTAGGTAAACGAAGCAGTCAGGAAGCTCGAACTGGGTGGAGCCCACCACAGCTCAAGGAGGCCTGCCTGCCTCTGTAGGCTCCACCTCTGGGGGCAGGGCACAGACAAACAAAAAGACAGCAGTAACCTCTGCAGACTTAAATGTCCCTGTCTGACAGCTTTGAAGAGAGCAGTGGTTCTCCCAGAACACAGCTGGAGATCTGAGAACGGGCAGACTGCCTCCTCAAGTGGGTCCCTGACCCCTGACCCCCGAGCAGCCTAACTGGGAGGCACCCCACAGCAGGGGCACACTGACACCTCACACGGCAGGGTATTCTAACAGACCTGTAGCTGAGGGTCCAGTCTGGTAGAAGGAAAACTAACAAACAGAAAGGACATCCACACCAAAAACCCATCTGTACATCACCATCATCAAAGACCAAAAGTAGATAAAACCACAAAGATGGGGAAAAAACAGAATGGAAAAACTGGAAACTCTAAAACACAGAGCACCTCTCCTCCTCCAAAGGAACGCAGCTCCTCACCAGCAATGGGACAAAGCTGGATGGAGAATGACTTTGACGAGGTGAGAGAAGAAGTCTTCAGACGATCAAATTACTCTGAGCTAAGGGAGGACATTCAAACCAAAGACAAAGAAGTTGAAAAAGTTGAAAAAAATTTAGAAGAATGTAAAACTAGAATAACCAATACAAAGAAGTGCTTAAAGGAGCTGATGGAGCTGAAAACCAAGGCTCGAGAACTATGTGAAGAATGCAGAAGCTTCAGGAGCCGATGCAATCAAATGGAAGAAAGGGTATCAGCAATGGAAGATGAAATGAATGAAATGAAGTGAGAAGGGAAGTTTAGAGAAAAAAGAATAAAAAGAAATGAGCAAAGCCTCCAAGAAATATGGGACTATGTGAAAAGACCAAATCTAAGTCTGATTGGTGTACCTGAAAGTGATGGGGAGAATGCAACCAAGTTGGAAAACATGCTGCAGGATATTATCCAGGAGAACTTCCCCAATCTAGCAAGGCAGGCCAACATTCAGATTCAGGAAATACAGAGAACAACACAAAGATACTCCTCGAGAAGAGCAACTCCAAGACACATACTTGTCAGATTCACCAAAGTTGAAATGAAGGAAAAAATGTTAAGGGCAACCAGAGAGAAAGGTCGGGTTACCCTCAAAGGGAAGCCCATCAGACTAACAGCAGATCTCTCGGCAGAAACCCTTGAAGCCAGAAGAGAGTGGGGGCCAATATTCAACATTCTTAAAGAAAAGAATTTTCAACCCAGAATTTCATATCCAGCCAAACTAAGCTTCATAAGTGAAGGAGAAATAAAATACTTTACAGACAAGCAAATGCTGAGAGATTTTGTCACCACCAGGCCTGCCCTAAAAGAGCTCCTGAAGGAAGTGCTAAACATGGAAAGGAACAACTGGTACCAGCCACTGCAAAATCATGCCAAAATGTAAAGAACATCGAGACTAGGAAGAAACTGCATCAACTAACGAGCAAAATCACCAGCTAACATCATAATGACAGGATCAAATTCACACATAACAATATTAACTTTAAATGTAAATGGATTAAATGCTCCAATTAAAAGACACAGACTGACAAATTGGATAAAGAGTCAAGACCCATCAGTGTGCTGTATTCAGGAAACCTGTCTCACTGGCAGAGACACATATAGGCTCAAAATAAAAGGATGGAGGAAGATCTACCAAGCAAACGGAAAACAAAAAAAGGCAGGGGTTGCAATCCTAGTCTCTGATAAAACAGACTTTAAACCAACAAAGATCAAAAGAGACAAAGAAGGCCATTACATAATGGTAAAGAGATCAATTCAACAAGAAGAGCTAACTATCCTAAATATACATGCACCCAATACAGGAGCACCCAGATTCATAAAGCAAGTCCTGAGTGACCTACAAAGAGACTTAGACTCCCACACATTAATAAT
>NT_187393.1:93800-95289 GCF_000001405.40 Homo sapiens
TTTGAAAACTGGCACAAGAGAGGGATGCCCTCTCTCACCACTACTATTCAACATAGTGTTGGAAGTTCTGGCCAGGGCAATTAGGCAGGAGAAGGAGATAAAGTGTATTCAATTAGGAAAAGAGGAAGTCAAATAGTCCCCATTTTAAGACGACATGATTGTATATCTAGAAAACCCCGTTGTCTCAGCCCAAAATCTGCTTAAGCTGTTAAGCAACTTCAGCAAAGTCTCAGGATACAAAATCAATGTCCAAAAATCACAAGCATTCTTATACACCAACAACAGACAAACAGAGAGCCAAATCATGAGTGAACTCCCATTCACAATTGCTTCAAAGAGAATAAAATACCTAGGAATACAACTTACAAGGGATGTGAAGGACCTCTTCAAGGAGAACTACAAACCACTGCTCAAGGAAATAAAAGAGGATACAAACAAATGGAAGAACATTCCATGCTCATGGGTAGGAAGAATCAATATCGTGAAAATGGCCATACTGCCCAAGGTAATTTACAGATTCAATGCCATCCCCATCAAGGTACCAAAGCCTTTCTTCACAGAATTGGAAAAACCTACTTTAAAGTTCATATGGAACCAAAAAAGAGCCCGCATTGCCAAGGCAATCCTAAGCCAAAAGAACAAAGCTGGAGGCATCACACGACCTGACTTCAAACTATACTACAAGGCTACAGTAACCAAAACAGCATGGTACTGGTATCAAAACACAGATATAGATCAATGGAACAGAACAGAGCCCTCAGAAATAACGCCACTTATGTACAACTATCTGATCTTTGACAAACCTGAGAAAAACAAACAATGGGGAAAGGATTCCCTATTTAATAAATGGTGCTGGGAAAACAGGCTACCCATATGTAGAAAGCTGAAACTGGATCCCTTCCTTACACCTTATACAAAAATCAATTCAAGATGGATTAAAGACTTAAACGTTCGACCTAAAACCATAAAAACCCTAGAAGAAAACCTAGGCATTACCATTCACGACATAGGCATGGGCAAGGACTTCATGTCCAAAACACCAAAAGCAATGGCAACAAAAGCCAAAATTGACAAATGGGATCTAATTAAACTAAAGAGCTTCTGCACAGCAAAAGAAACTACCACCAGAGTGAACAGGCAACCTATAAAATGGGAGAAAATTTTCGCAACCTACTTATGTGACAAAGGGCTAATATCCAGAATCTACAATGAACTCCAACAAATTTACAAGAAAAAAACAAACAACCCCATCAAAAAGTGGGCGAAGGACATGAACAGACATTTCTCAAAAGAAGACATTTATGCAGCCAAAAAACACGTGAAAAAATGCTCATCACCACTGGCCATCAGAGAAATGCAAATCAAAGCCACAATGAGATAGCATCTCACACCAGTTAGAATGGCAATCATTAAAAAGTCAGGAAACAACAGGTTCTGGAGAGGATGTGGAGAAATAGGAACACTTTTACACTGTTGGTGGGACTGTAAA
>NT_187393.1:95314-99375 GCF_000001405.40 Homo sapiens
CACATGCACACGTATGTTTATTGCGGCAGTATTCACAATAGTAAAGACTTGGAACCAACCCAAATGTCCAACAATGATAGACTGGATTAAGAAAATGTGGCACATATACACCGTGGAATACTATGCAGTCATAAAAAATGATGAGTTCATGTCCTTTGTAGGGACATGGATGAAATTGGAAATCATCATTCTCAGTAAACTATCGCAAGAACAAAAAACCAAACACCGCATATTCTCACTCATAGGTGGGAATTGAACAATGAGATCACATGGACACAGGAAGGGGAATATCACCCTCTGGGGACTGTGGTGGGGTGAGGGAAGCGGGGAGGGATAGCATTGGGAGATATACCTAATGCTAGATGACGAGTTAGTGGGTGCAGTGCACTAGCATGGCACATGTATACATATGTAACTAAACTGCACAATGTGCACATGTACCCTAAAACTTAAAGTATAATTTAAAAAAAAGTAAAATAAAAAAAGAAAAAAAAATGCAAATTGCATGTAAGCATATGAAAAGATGCTTATCATATGCCATCAAGGAAATGCATATTTAAACAACAATGAGATACCAAAACATATCCATTAGAATAATCAAAATTCAAAACACAGAAAGCACCAAATGCTGGCAAAGATGTAGAGCAACAAAAATTCTCATTCACTGCTGGCTGGAATGCAAAACAGTATATTTTCACTTTGGAAGACAATGTGGCAGTTTCTTAGAAAACTAAACACAGTCTTACCATGCAATTCAGCCATTGCACTCTTTGTCATTTACCGAAATGAGTTCAAAACGTATGTTCACACCAAGACTTGCAGGTGAATATTTATAGCATTTTCACTTATGATTTCCAAGAGTTGGAATCAAACAACATATTTTTCAGAAGGTGAGTCAACATATAAACTGTGCTATATCCAATGAAATATTCAGTGCTAAAAAGAAATGTCCACTTCCAGTGGAAAATTTTTTTCTACAAAAATTTTTTTCTACAAAAAGAGTGTTTCAAACCTGCTCTATCAAAAGAAAGGCTCAACTCTGTGAGTTGAATGCACACATCACAAAGAAGTTTCTGAGAATGCTTCTGTCTAGTGTTTATGTGAAGATATTCCCGTTTCCATCGAAGGCCTCAAAGCAGTTCAAATATCCACTTGCAGATTCTACAAAAAGAGTGTTTCTAAACTGCTCCATGAAAAGATATGTTCAACTCTGCAAGTTGAACGCACACAACCCATAGAAGTTTCTGAGAATGCTTCTGTCTAGTTTTTGTGTGAAGATATTTCCTTTTCCACCATAGGCCTCAAAGCTCTCCAAATGTCCACTTGCAGATTCCACAAAAAGAGTGTTTCAAACCTGCTTCATCAAAAGAAAAGTTCAACTCTGTGAGTTGAATGCACATATTACAAAGAAGTTTCTGTGAATGCTTCTGTCTTTTTTTATGTGGAGATATTTCCTTTTCTGCCGTAGGCCTCAAAGCACTCCAAATGTCCACTTGCAGATTGTACAAAAAGAGTGTTTCAAAATTGCTATATCAAAAGAATGGTTCAAATCCATGAGTTGAATGCACATATCACAAAGAAGTTTCTGAGAATGTTTCTCTCTAGTTTTTATGTGAAGATATTTCCTTTTCCACCATAGGCCTCAAAGCCCTCCAAATGTCAACTTGCAGATTCTACAAAAAGAGTGTTTCAAACCTGCTCTATCAAAAGAAATGTTCAAATCTGTGAGTTGAATGCACACAGTAAAAGGAAGTTTCTGAGAAAACTTGTGTGTCGTGATTATGTGTAGGTACTCCCGTTTCCAATGATGTCCTCAAAGCGGTCCAAATATCCACTTGGAGATACTACTAAAAGAGTGTTTCAAAACTGCTCTAGGATAAAGTATGTTGAACTCTGAGAATTGAAGGCAAACATCCAAATAAGTTTATGAGAATGCTTCTGTCTAGTTTTTATGTGAAGATATTTCCTTTTCCTCCATAGGCCTCAAAGCGCTCCTAATGTCCACTTGTAGATTCTACAAAAGAGTGTTTCAAACCTGCTCTATCAAAAGAAAGGTTCAACTCTGTGAGTTGAATACACACAGCACAAAGAAGTTTCTGAGAAAGCTTCATTATGTGAAGATACTCCCGTTTTCAACGAAGGCCTCAAAGCCCTCCAATTATCCACTGGCAGATACTACTAAAAGAGTGTTTCAAAACTGATCTATCATAAAGTATGTTAGACTCTGAGAGTTGAATGCAAACGTCACAAATAAGTTTATGGGAATGCTTCTTTGTAGTTTTTATGTGAAGATATATCCTTTTCCACCATAGGCCTCAAAGAGCTCCAAATGTCCACTTACAGATACTGCAAAAAGAGTGTTTCAACCCTGCTCTATGAAAAGGAAGGTTCAACTCTGTGAGTTGAATGCACACATCACAAAGTAGTTTCTGAGAATGCTTCTGTCTAGTTTTTATGCGAAGTTATTCCCGTTTCCAACGAAGACTGCAAAGCGGTCCAAATATCCACTTGCAGATTCCACGAAAAGAGTGTTTCAAAACAGCTCTATGAAAAGGGAGGTTCAACTCTGTGAGTTGAATGCAAACATCACAAAGAAGTTTCTGACAATGCTTCTGTCTAGTTTTTATTTATAGATATTTCCTTTTCCACCATAGGCCTCCAAGCTCTCCAAATGTCTGCTTGCAGATTCTACAAAAAAAGTGTTTCAAACCTGCTCTATCAAAAGAAAGGTTCAATTCTGTGAGTGGAATGCACACATCACAAAGAAGTTTCTGAGAATGATTCTGTCTAGTGTTCATGTGAAGATATCCACTTTTCCAATGAAGGCCTCAAAGCGGTTCAAATATCCACTTACAGATTCTACAAAAAGAGTGTTGCAAACCTGCTTCATTAAAGGAAAGCTTCAACTCTGTGAGTTGAATGGACACATCACAAAGAAGTTTCTGAGAATGCTTCTATCTAGTGTTTATTTGCAGATATTCCCGTTTCCAATGAAGGATTCAAAGCGTTCCAAATATCCACTTGCAGATTCTGCAAAAAGAGTGCTTCAAAACTGCTCTATGAAGAGGTATGTACAACCCTGTGATTTGAAAGCAAACATCACAAAGTAGTTCCTTAGAATTCTTCTGTCTGGTTTTTATATAATAATACTTCCTTTCCCACTATAGGCCTCAAAGCTCGCCTTATGTCCACTTGAAGCTTCTACAAAAAGAGGGTTACAAACCTGCTGTATGAAAAGAAAGGTTCAACTCTGTGAGTTGAATGCACACATCATAAAGAAGGTCCTGAGAATGCTTCTGTCTAGTGTTTATGTGAAGATAATCCCGTTTCCAACGAAGGCCTCAAAGCAGTGCAAATATCCACTTGCAGATTCTACTAAAAGAGTGTTTCAAAAGTGTTCTATGATAAGGTATGTTCACCTCTCTGAATTGAATGCACACATCATAAGAAGTTTCTGAGAATGCTTCTGTCTAGTTTTTATGGGAAGATATTTCCTTTTCCACCATAGGCCTCAAAGCACTTCAAATGTCTACTTGAAGATTCTACTAAAAGAGTGTTTCAAACCTGCTCTATCAAAAGAAAGTTTCAACTCTATGAGTTGAATGCACACAGTACAAAAAAGTTTTTGAGAAAGCTTCTGTCTAGTGATTATGTGAAGATATTCCCGTTTCCAACGAAGGCCTCCAAGCAGTCCAAATATTCACTTGCAGATTCTACAAAAAGAGTGTTTCAAAACTGCTCTATGAAAAGGTGTGTTCAACTCTATGAGTTGAATGCAAACATCACAATGTAGTTCCTTAGAATTCTTCTGTCTGGTTTTCATTTAAAGATATTTCCTTTTCCACCATAGGCCTCATAGGTTTAAAAATGTCCGGTGCCGATTCTACAAAAGGAGTGTTTCAAACTTGCTCTATCAAAAGAATGATTCAACTCTGTGACTTGAATACACACATCACAAAGAAGTTTTGGAGAGTGCTTTTGTCTAGTGTTTATGTGAAGATATACCAGTTTCCAATGAAGGCCTCGAAGCGGTCCAAATATACATTTCCAGATTCTACAGC